>NC_000012.12:115641946-115793461 GCF_000001405.40 Homo sapiens | reverse complement strand
AAACAGATTCAGAGACGTTAAGTCAGTAGCCCCATGTCACACAGAAGAGCTGCCAATCTCAACACAGCTTTGATCACAAAGAAGCTCTTACCCACCACTCTATGTTGCTCTGTAAATGTGGGTTGAATTGAGCAAGGGACTTAGAGAAGCCACTCAGCTTTTGTAGAGTTACTCCTTAAGATGAAGAAAGAAACCCATTTTCCTGGAACCCAACCCCATACACTTCCTATGTGGCCAAATCTCTTCTCATTAGCTGCAGTCTTTGGTAGGCCATTTAAGCCCTGGTTAGGCCAGCTGAGATGGGAACCCAAAATGATTAATAGATTTCAGGACATCAGGAAATGGGCTCAAACTTTACAGGGAGATTAACCTGTCTTGATAAGGTCTATTGGAATCACTGAAATTATTCCTGCCTCTGTATTCACTCCTACTGGACTCTAGAATTTCCCGTGTGGGAATCCAGTACACTTTATTGCACTAATCTATTTATGAGCCTTAAAGGGACCCTGTTGTGTCCCTGCCCTGAATCTCCCGCTTCTTCATCTGGAAGCAGCTCTTTGATTTTTCACTGGAAGACCACCTCTTTCTACTCTCAAGTCAATGGCTTGGGGTTGGGGGCGGACCTCCAGTTAGATGCAGAGCTGGGCATGAGGCTGGGTCACATCAGTCTGTGTAATCCATCCCTGAGCCCCAGTGATGGATTGAGGGATGAGTGTGAAACACAAATGGGTCCAGTGAGAATCAGCTCTGGGCTTCAGCTGAAGCTTTTAGGAAAGAGTTATTCTCTATCAGGTTTCTAAGCCGGCTGAATGGGAGTCTGGAGCTCCTAGCAGCCTTTTTGGGAAGCACAAATGGAGAGCCTGTCTGGGTATAAAATCAACAAAGAGTGGAGAGAAGACCTGGGAGCTGAAAAGAAACAGATTGTTGATAACATCATTTGAGCCCCTGGATCAAGCCATGACTGAAACCTGGGCCTTTAAACTCGAAAGCTACCCAAGCCAATGCATTTTCTCTTTTGCTCAAGCTGTTTCAATTTGGTTCCTTTCACTCAAAAGACTTCTTAATATAAATGGGCTTGGGTTTTAAGTTGGAGAAATAAACAAATGGGATTGTTTGTATCCCAACACAGTCACTTGAGGAAAATGCACCAAAAGGGGGTAGGATGGCTTCAAATTCTTCTTAATGAAGATGACTGATGGTACTCCAAATCACCTTATAGACACCTCTATAAAGCTGCTCCCTTATTCTTTAAATGGGAACTTGAGCTGGAAGATTCATGATTTTCTAGATTTGGGGTCCCTCTCAGCAAAACTGAGAATGCAAAAAGCGTGTTACCTGGGTCCTCTTTCCTCCTCTTTGAGTACTTTCCTTTTCCTTTCCTTCCATTGAACCTGCTGTGCTCCATCTGTGCAGAGAATTGAATGTCTTTGTGCTCTCTAACTTGTAGCACCCTTCAGCCCTCCTTTCCTGTGGATCAACTTATGTCTTTGAAACTTACCATTCTATACCCTGTTCCCAGAGTGTTAGATAGAGTGGACAGACTAATTTGTACTAAAGTGTAAATTGCTAACAGTACAATGTTTTAAGTGGAATATCTAAATAGGGAAGCACTTTAATCCAAACAATTGGAGTTGCAGGAGCTTTTAGAAGAAATTGGGGGAGATTTTTAAAGGCAATTGTTTTTTGGGGGAGTAGAGAGATTCCCATTATGATTGTCCATCCATTTCACCTGAATGTGAGTTAGCCCTCCAGTGTTGAAGAAGGGTGGGGCATTTTCCAAGCCTTGTATGCTGTCAAAAGTCAGGGGATTAAAGGAGCAATGATGGTTCAGCCTAGGCCTCTCCATCTCTTCTGCATTCCCTTCCTAGAGGGCTGGGTGTCTACATGCTGCTGACCAGGAGCCGAGAATAGCCTGGCACTGGTCCCAGAGGTCATCCTCCCCCACCAAGGACTCAGAGGACAGAACAGTCCATGCCCCATAGCAGTAGGTTTTCCACCCTAGCACCTGATAAGCTGGAGCTGAGTTTAACAGAAGCACATCATGGGACATGTTTTCAGGAATAAGACGCCCCTATCGGTCCCAAGTGGAGGGCGATGGAGACACTGGCTGAGTTAATGCATTGCTGGCCCAGACCCAGGCTCTGGCGGCCCATTCCTCTCAAATTCCTCTGTAATCAGCTAAATTAGCCCATTGATAGAACAGCTCATCAAGGGGCAGCTCAGAGGAGGGATTGATGGACGGTCACCTTTTCAAGGAACTCCGGACTGGGGGATAAATGGCCCATTTACTCATGAGGTTGCAATTGAGTGTTTTCCTTATATCAATAATTTTTCCTTTCTTGCCCTCACTCTTCCTGGTCCTAGGCAGAAAGAGGCCCGTGCCACATCAGGTCTGATTCCTTCCCGAGCTTGAGTGCAAAGCTTGTGCTTAGCTTAACCTGCTCATTGCTGATGGAGCAGAGTCATCCTCTTAGAAGTGAAGTCTTCCCTTTATAAATACTGTAGCTGTCCAGAAATACTACAGTGTCCAGTGGACACTGTAGTGTCCACTCCCACAATTATTTTATTTACACCAGTGAAGTCCTATTTGGGAATAACTTCAATATCAAAGCTAGTTCTCTGGAAGCATCTAGCATTCATCTATTAGAATCAACAGGACTTAAGACTAATTTCAGGAACTGTGACTCAGACCTGCCAGTGTTTGATGTCATGTAAACCAGACTTCCAAGGCTCACTTTATGAACAACTCTGTAAGTAGTTAGGTTGCGGAGATCACAAACACCTAGAGGAAGAACAGGGGGAAAATCATAACTGGCCCAGCTGGACCCATGTTATGAGTATTGGTACTTGCAGTCTGGGATAACATTTTCAATGACAGTACAATGCATGGGTCTAAAATGGTTGTGTTTCCAAATAACTTGGGCAGAAGCAACCATGACATGCACTGAAATGCTGTATAAGAGAGTACAAAAAGTGGCTTTCTTAAGAAAAAGATGCAGGCGAAGAATTGGAATCAAATTGTTCCCTGAAAAACAGTATGGGGATTTCTCAAAAAACTGGAAATAGAACTACCATATGACTCATCAATCCCACTACTGGTCTATTCAAAGAACAAAGAAATTAGTATATCAAAGGGATACCTGCAGTCGCATGTTTATTGCAGCACTATTCACGGTAGCAAAGATATGGAATCAACCTACATACCCATCAATGGATGAATGGATAAAGAAAATGTGATAGAAGCCTCCAGATAACTGAATGGATAAAGAAAATATATACACAATGGACTACTATTCAGCCACTAAAAAGAATGAAATCATGTCATTTGCAGAACATGGATGGAATTGGAGGTCATTATGTTAAGTGAAATAGGCCAGGTACAGAAAGACAAATACTGCATGTTCTCATTCATATGCGGGAGCTAAAAAACTTGATCTCATGGATGTAGAGAATAGAATGATTCATATCAGAGATTGGAAAGGTTGTGGGGGATAGTGGAGATGAAGAGACGTCTGCTATGGGTACAAATATACGGCTAGATAGAAGGACTAAGTTCTAATGTTCGACAGTAGACTAGGATGACTATACTTAGCAACAATAATATGTGTATTTCAAAGTAGCTAG
The DNA here is from genome assembly GCF_000001405.40 of Homo sapiens. Classification (NCBI taxonomy): domain Eukaryota; kingdom Metazoa; phylum Chordata; class Mammalia; order Primates; family Hominidae; genus Homo; species Homo sapiens. The sequence goes on along the minus strand of NC_000012.12, from coordinate 115,789,837 downwards.
AAGAGAGGAGTTGAAGTGATACCAGCACATAAAAATAATAAACACACAGTGTGATGGATACCCCAATTACCCTGACTTTATTGTTACACATTCTTTGCATGCAACAAACACTCACTTGTACCTCATAAATATGTAAATTATCGTATATCAATAAAAGGGAAAAAAGGGATCTTGAGATGTAGAATGGGAGAAAGTAGATTTTCTACATCAACATTATTTTACACTGCATGTAATGAAAAAATACATCAAATTGATAAATTTCACATGATAAGTATTTGACTCTTTCATCTATTCCCTAGAAGTTTGTAAATTCATGTTGGTCAAAAATTCTTTTGCGTGGGCTCTCCTTATATGTAGGGACGTCTTATACTTGGCATAGTCTTATATCCAGGTGTATATAAAATACTGTGTATTTCTGGAGGCATAGGGATGATTTGGGGAAAGACTTGGAAACTTTTTCCTGCAGTTTTAGATCTAAACACTTTTGTGCTATTTTGAATGTACTTGGAAAGGCAAGCAAGAAAAATAAAAGCATGTTTATTTAGGTTAGCATTTGTCTAAGCAAATTCTGTTCTGGCGTATGCTTCCCAAGAAAAGGGTTCTATGACCAAATAAGTTTGGGCAATGCTAGGCTCAATAGCACCTTCTTGGGAAGTCAAATGTGCTTAAACTCCTAGAACTTAAGTTCCCTAGAATTACTAGACCTTAGAACCCCTTTCTTTACAGAACACTTACTAGTATCATACAAAACAAAACGGTATCCCAGAAACAATTTGGGAAATACTGAACTGGGACTATCTTGAAAATTTCAAGGAGAGGGGGAGTCACAAATATAACCAAATTTGTACAATTATTTAGATAGCAGGGAATATTTATGTCTTTAATTTCCCATGCTAAGAGTCCATCCCCTCTTCCCTATGACAGAATACACAGGTTGTTACTGTGCCCCCCAGGGAAGATTAGATTTTGTGACCAGGTAGACTTGGAATCAAGCTCTGGCTTTTTTGTGTGTTGTGCGACCTTGAGCAAGTATCACTAACTCTCTGAGCCTCAGTTGCCTCCTTTGTAAAAAGGGCACCAGTCACTACTTATCTTAAAGAGTTTCTATAAAATAGGAAATGAGATGACACAGAAGAAGTATCTAGCACAGTGCTGGACAGTTGTAAGTGCTCAGGAAGTTGTTGCTGTTGTTCACCATTACATCTCTTCTCACGGCCCCTGAATGGTTTTACGTTTGCTGACTTGTCCCAGCCTCATCTGTTTAGAAGGCTTGAATTGAGCTGAAATAGGGGCAGGTATGGATTAATTTAGGGTGGACTTTATTGCCAATGCAATATATCTTGGGAATATGCAAATACCCTCATCAATTCCCACCGAAGAGATTCAGAAAGACTCACTCAGCTATCCTCCATCCCACCCAGGATACCTGCCCCAGGAGTGTGGCGATGTCCAGCTAGCTCACAGGAAATGAGACTGTTGGACGTTTCAGAATTCATATGTTTCCTTTTGAAAGGACAGTCAGCTTCCTTTATTAAAAAAGTCCACCTGATTGTATTTTAATGACAATTAAAATTCTACAATGTGCACATTTTACAGAATTTTACAATGTGCATGTTTACAGAATTTTACAATGTGATGTTTAATGACAGCATCAAACATGCACACTGTAGAAATTTAAATATGGTGTAAATGTATGATGTGAACAGTGAGTCTTCTTTCACCAGTTTCCAGGAATGAACAGTGGGAGAGATGGGCAGATGTTCTTACGCACCCTTTTTATGCACCAAGAAGAAGAGGAACGAGTGTGTTTTGAGTGCTTAATACGTGCCAAGCACATGAAAATGCTTTCCATGCACGATCTCCTTTTGTCTTCAGGCTATATTATGCACGGGATGGGAACTAGGTGTCCCCTTATTTTACAGATGAGGCTACTGGGGCTTAGAGGGGTTAAGAAACCTGAGGTCACTCACCTAGTTAGTAAGGGAGCTGGGATGTGAACGCTAGTCTGTTCAACCACTTTCCAAATCCTTAGTTATTATAACACACACACACACACACACACACACACCACATACAATTTTCTATCACCAAATAGCATCATATTATTTATTTCTAATGACCTTTGACTTGCCTTTTTTTCCTTAAGGATCTATCATGGACACCCTTCCTTGAAAGTACCTATAGCTCTAGTTCATTGTTTTTAGCAGCTGCATGGATTCCATTACGGGGATGAACATAATTTATTTTACCGGGTCCCTACTGATGGGCATTTAGGTAGCTCTGTCCATTTGCGACTCTTTCTTGTCCCTCCTGGGCCCCAGAAGGGCTGAGCTTCCTCCAGCCCTCTGGCTTGTAAGAGGAGAATCAGTGTAGCGACTCCATCAATCTAAGCTACGCAGTCTTTAAAAATACATAGCCCAAAAAATAAGGCTCCATTAAACAAACTTATAAAATATGAATGGGTTGCTTACCCTGCCCCTGCTCAAGAGCATACAGGTCAGCTCCCTGGAACTCGGGAAAGTGGAGCATCTGAGATCTTCCTCCATATATTAACGAGAGCGGTGTCACCCTGTCAGGTATGGGGTCTTGAATCCAATTAAATTGTGAACCTTAAATGGAAAGGACTCTAGTACTCTGATGAACCACGAAGAACAGCTAAATGTTGCTGAGTATGTTTGTGTGTGCTCATGCATGCTTGTATCAAATCTCACACTCAACCAAATTTGCTCAGATAAACTCTTAGTAAGCCAATGAATTCACCAGGCTTCTAGAGTGGGGCAGGATAGCTTTGTGGCTAAGATCATGGACATGACGCCAGACCAACTAGTTTGGTGGCCCGGCCCTGCTATTTGTCAGCTTTGTGTAATGTTGGGCAAGTTACATAACCTGTCTCTACCTCAGTTTCCTCATCTGGAAAATGGAGATAGTCCCTGCCTTGTGGGGTGATGGTGAGGATTAAATGAGTTCAAATAGATAGAACAGTAAGTGCCTGGCACATGGTATCATATGTGGGCAGTCTATGATTATTATTAGATATGTACATGCCATTTTAAATATGTTTATTGCGACAATATTCACAGTAGCAAAGACTTGGAACCAACCCAAATGTCCATCAATGATAGACTAGATTAAGAAAATGTGGCACATATACACCTTGGAATAGTATGCAGCCATAAAAAAGGATGAGTTCATGTCCTTTGTAGGGAGATGGATAAAGCTGGAAACCATCATTCTCAGCAAACTGTCGCAAGGACAAAAAAAACCAAACACCACATGTTCTCAGTCATAGGTGGGAAATGAACAATGAGAACACTTGGACACAGGAAGGGGAACATCACACACCGGGGGCTGTCGTGGGGTTGGGGGAGCGGGGAGGGATGACATTAGGAGATATACCTAACGTAAATGATGAGTTAATGGGTGCAGCACACCAACATGGCACATGTATACATATGTAACAAACCTGCACGTTGTGCACATGTACCCTAGAACTTAAAGTATAATAATAAAAAATAAAAGAAAAAGAAAAAAAAGACAAAATAACAACACAAAAGAGGTAACTAGGAAAACAAAGTTAAAAGACATCATCCACTAGTGATTTACTTCATGACATTAATAAAGAATAGAAAGAAACATAAAAAAAAATAAATATTTTTGAATATCACAGTAAATATATGGTCACTGATCAAGTAGTGTTGATTAGAAAGAACACAAACTACAACCTTACTCCCTCAAATCACCTGTAATCCCCCCAGTCCAGAGAAAGGCCGCTCTGAACATTTTGGTCTATAACATTCCAAACATTATCCTCTGTGGGAATACACTTTCACGCACACATGCACATACACATTGGATGTATGATTTAATTACACAAATCTTATATCTTAAGTCCTCTTTTATAACTTGGCTTTTTTTAATCTAACAAATTATCAACACACCTAGAGTGTTTGTTTGCCGGAGCTGCCATTATAAGGTACTACAGACTAGATGGCTTAAACAACAGGAATGATGTTTCTCCCAGTTCTGGAGGTTGGAAGTCCAGGATCAAACTGCGGCAGGGTTGATTTCTTCTAAGGCCTCTCTCCTTGGCCTGCAGGTGGCCACCTTCGCCCTGTGTGTTCCCAAGGCCTTTCCTCTGTACCTGTCTATGTCCAAATTTTCTCTTCTTGTAAGGACACCAGTTGCATTGGATTAGGGCCCACCCTAATGATCTCACTCTAACTTAATTATCTTTCTAAAGACCTTGTTTTCTTTTTCTTTTTCTTATCTTTTGAGATGGAGTCTCACTCTCGCCCAGGCTGGAGTTCAGTGGCGTGATCTTGGCTCACTGCAACCTCCACCTCCCGAGTTCAAGGGATTCTCCTGACTCAGCCTCCCAAGTAGCTGGGACTACAGGAGTGCACCACCATGCCCGGCTAATTTTTGTATTTTTAGTAGAGACGGGATTTCACCATGTTGGCCAGGCTGGTCTCAAACTCCTGGCCTCAAGTTGACTCTCTTGGTAGCTTGGAACTCTCAAATCTGTAGAAATCAGGTCCTGCTTCATAGTGTTTATCGAGTATCTCCCTTCAAGGGAAGTTGCTAGACATTCACCTGAGATGCTTACACAACATTTTTCAGAAGGGATAAATTAATTTGCCAACTTATGTTCCTCTCACTCATGTATGAGAGCATCTATAATAATTCACCTCATCTCTATTCTTTCTGGATGTAGTCACTCAAAGCAAGAACCACCACAGAGCCAAAACTTTGCTAATTTGATTGTTAGGGGGAAAAATAACATCACAGTTTTTTCTACTTTTATTTCCTTGATTTACCATGTGGTTGGGCATTTTCTTAAATGTTAATTACCTGTATGTTTTTATTCTATTCTGAATTGCCTATTCATGTCTTTTTCACATTTTTCTATCATGGAAACGTTGTTTTTCCAATTTATTACTAGTATGCTTTATCTAGAAATAGGGAGAACTATTTTTATAATTAAAATGTTAACCTTCTGGATGCAGCAAACTTTTTAACATAGATTTTTGCACATGATCAAGAGGCTTTGCTATTTTTTAATCTTTTCCATCCTAGTGGTTATTGCACCAACTCTCTTCCTCCTAATTATGTGTATCTTGCTTATTTTTTTTTTTGATTAAATCTCTTGGATCTTTGTCTGTATCTTCGTTTTGAATTTTTATAATGCAAATTTATGATTTCTCCTTTTCCCTTTGTTAATAACCCTTTTAACTTTGCTTTGTGTTATTCTTTTCTAACTTCCTGAGTTACTTTTATTTATTCTTTTAAATATAATAATAGTAGCATTTAATACTATGACTTTTGCTTCTAATTACAGCTTTGGGCACGTACCCTGCGATTTAAAAAGTATGCAGTATTCTTATTATTGTTATTTTCTTTGTTGTAATTGTTGGGTTTGACTTTCCCTTTGTCTCAAATTATTTGGGAGAGTGCCTTTCAATTTCTAAGTGGTCGAGGTTTTTCAAAATACTTTTTAAAAAGTAATTTCTAGTTTTATTACCTTGCGGTCAGAAAATTCAATTTTCAGCAACTGCTCATCGCTTGATGTCTTGAGTTCAGATGCTCTGAGACAGGCCTGAGAATGTCCCTGCTCTTTAGGAGGGTTAAAGTCAGAAGGGTCTCAGATCCTGGATGAAGTTGAAATAGCTGACATCCTCAGGGGGTTCCTGTTCGCAGCCCTGACATAGATTATTGTGATGGCTGTTGAGAAATCAAGCATTAGAAGGATGGTTTGAGAATCTGCCTTTTCCCCCTGTACATTTTAAAGTTAGAAGATGCTTAATGTTATCGGAAGCTAGAATTCTCTCCCGGATATGGTTAGGTTTTGGGTCTCCACCTAAATCTCATCTTGAATTATAATCCCCATCATCCCCATGTGTCAAGGGAGAGACCAGGTGGAGGCAATTGAATCATGAGGGCGGTTTCCCCCATGCTGTTCTCTTGATAGTGAGTGAGTTCTCACGAGATCTGATGGTTTATAAGGGGCTCTTCCTCTTCACGCAGCACTGCTCTCTGCTGTCTTGTGAAGAAGGTGCTTTGCTTCCCCTTCATTTTCTGTTATGATTGTAAGTTTCCTGAGGCCTCCCCAGCCAGGCTGAACCGTGAGTCAATTCAACCTCTTTCCTTTATAAATTACCCCATCTCAGGCAGTTCTTTAAAGCAGTATGAAAACATTCTTATACATCCCTTTAGGTAGGTGAAAGTCTAAATGACATAGAATTCATATTCCCTATCTACAAGGATCTCGGGTTTGAGGCTGCTCATGTTCGTTTGTCCAGAGAGAGTCCCAGAATTGATGTTTTGTGAGGACTTGACTTTGCCTTGTGCTGGGTTGCCATTATGCCGTAGAAGAACTGTTGGTCCATTTGGTTACTTGCTGCCCTTACCCTTGAGTTTTAAGAGGGAGCCTAGCCAGCTGGCTGGAACTACCTTTTTGATTTGCTGGAAATGCATGTTGTTGAACCGTGGATTTTCATTTGGAGAAAAAAGTTTTACCTGTTATAGGGTCCACTTAAAAATATAGAGCAACAGAGAGATTTTTATTTCCATATGGATTATGTTAAGGAGTGTGTGTGTGTGTGTGTGTGTGTGTGTGTGAATATATACACATACATACGAAAGAGAAATGGCCCTATTATAGGAAGCCTCATTAAAGAGGCCTGGAAAAGGTTAGTTCATTTGCAGACTATACATCTTAATCTCCCCACACTGCACACTAACCTGGAAGGAGAGAGAGAATCTACAGCCAGAGAGATCCTGGCTTCATTCCAAGCCCTGGATCAAGTAGACCTTACTCTTTCCCGCCAGCTACCCATCATTAGCACTATATATTAACCCAGAGAAACTGTTCTCCCAAGGGGCTCCTGGAAATGGGAGAATGTGGAAACCAATTCATAGTGGTGGAGACCCACACTTCTTGCCTGGACACCATTCCTTAGCTGGCAGGTGCACCTGGGGCTCAGGCCCCCTGAAATGGGGGTGCAGAAGCCAGGAGCATGTTATAGGTTAAAGCAGTGCTGATAGGTTGAGTGGCTGTTCACCTGCTGCTGGCTGGTTCCCATCTGTGTTAACGGCTTCCAACTGGCCTCATTATTTGGGAAACTGGAGGCCTTTGGACAAAGGCCCTTATGCCGGTTTTGCAAACATCAACACATCCCCTGCAGGCTCTTTTCAGGTTCCAGGTTGCAAGCTCTAAGGAGTGGAAATAGGCAGGCAGGAGCTGGCTTCTGCCATTCCAGGCTTGACTCTTTACCCGTCCCTCTGAGTCTGTTTCCCTATGTGAAATGTGTGTTGGGTGGCAGGAGGGTGGAAACAGTTATTCCACTTACTCCTTGAGGTCACGAGGATTAAGGAGGAGGGAAGGAAGAAAGGAACTTTCTATTTTATTTATTTTTTATGGCATGTGCTGGGCTGTAGGCTGGCACTTCCAAACAGATGCTCAGAAAGCTTCTCCCTTCCCTTCCTGCCCTTTCCTTCACTGTGCCCTCTTGTGCTATGCAGCGCCCCCTCCCTTCTCCCAAGTCCCAGTCTCTGTCTTCCTGCAGCACCTAGTCTGCACCGTGCATTCTATCATTGGTGACAGAGCCCCTTGATCCCCAAAGTGAGGTCCGTACACCAGCACCCCCTGGAAGCTTGTTAGAGATGCAGAACCTCAGGCCCCATCCCAGACCTGGTGAATTAGACTCCACATTTTAACACCGTCCCAAGTGACTTGTGTACATGGTCAGGCTGTATAAGGGCGGCCAAAGCAGACTCTCCTCTACATGTGTACATCTGTTTGTATCATCCATGAGACCCTCTCCTTGAGTGGCTTCTGTCCTGGGGATTTCCAAAAACAAGAGGAGGCAGAGAATGTGCCTGTTCTGAAGATTCAGACATAAGAGGGAACTGACTTCTGGACACACAATGTCCTTTCTCTTTGTCAGTGTTCTTTCAAGTTTTCTGATTACATCAAAAGAGAGACTCTACTTGGGGCTTATCTGTCCTTAATACCTTATAAAGAGTACCCCCAATCCACAGGCAAGAACAGAGATAGGCCCAAGGCAAGGCTCAAGATGTTCCTGGGAGCTGGAGACAATTAAACATGGAGGAAGTAGGCAAGAGTCATTGGGAATGTTTGAGGCCAAGACTCCTACATCCAGATGCTTTCCTGAATACGTGGTCTTCTCAGTTAAAAGTAAGCTCTGGAATAGAACAAATCTTGTATCTACTTCATTTTGTATGGCTCCTCGTCCCCCATCCCACAGTGATTCACAATGGGTATTCAAATATTTATTGCCTTGACCTGGATTTTGGTATGTAGAGTAGGAAGGTGTTGAGATAACTGTTGATAGTAAATACACCACAAACACGGCCATATTCCTCTTGCCTGTGCCCAGGGCAGACATTACTAATCAATTGTTGCACTCTTCCGCACTGAGCTTCAATCTGGATACAGCACTATAGAGCATCACCAAGTGATCAGAGTTGATTAGGCATAGTTGTCTTCAGTCCAGATCTCCTGGATGCCAGGATCCTGTCTAGTAAGTCTGTTTCTGAACAACCCAGCTGAATGCTGTCACAAGTCAAGCACTGGTAATGGTGATGGACTTGATGATGATAAAATTACTGTCCTTTTCTTTCCCTTTTGGTAAGAGTGGGTTTAATGGAAATCAATCACAAATGATACCTAAAATTTATTTTAAATTTGGAAATAACATACTAATAACACATGAATCGAAGAAATCCCAAAAGAAATTAGAAAATATTTGAACTGAATGAAAATGAGAACACAGTATCTCGAAACATGTGGGATACAGCTAAAGAAATGGTTATGGGGAAATTAATAGCATTAAATATTTCAGTTAGGAAAGAAGATAGGCCCATCCTAAATTTAAAAAAGAATAAATTAAACCCAAAATATATAGAATAAAGGAAATAATAACAGACAGCAGAAATCAATGAAATTATTTTTAAACACCAGAAAAACAACGGAGAAAAATAAATTTTCTGTAATGAACAATAAAATTCATATATCTCTAGGTAAATTAATCAATGAAAATGGGGGAAAATTATTAATGAAGGGGAGATATCACTATAGTTTCTTTTAAAATGATAACAAGGAAATATCTGAAACATTTTGTGTTGAGACAGCTTACAACCTTACAAGGACAAACTCCTTGAAAGATACATATTAACAAACAAATTTAAGAAAAATATAGAACATGGCTGAGCCCTCTATAATTGAATTTATAATTAAAATTTCTCCCAAACAGAAAATTCCACGTCCAAAATGGCTTCATTGGTGAACTTTGTCAAACATCTAAGGAATAAGTACTACAAATTCTTTCAGAAATTTGAAAGATGGGAACACTCTCTAATACTTCCCAGGAGGCCAACATTATTCTGACATCAGAAAATAATTACAAGAAAAAACTATGTTATAATTCTATGTGAAAACAGACACTAAAATTCTTAACAGTTATTAGCAAGTCAAGCCCAGTAATAGATAAAAAGAATAATACATTATGGCCAAAGACAGTTTATCCCAATAATGCAAGGGCAGCTTAATATTGAAAACATATATCAGTGTCATTCACCACATGAAAGCATGAAAGAAACGAAAGAGAAAAATTAGAATGCCAACAAGATGCAAAAAATAACTTACAATTTAACATTCATTTATGATTAAAAAAACTGTCAGCAAACTAGGAATAGATATAACTACCTCAACCTGTTAATGGACACCTACAACTAACACTATTTTTTTGAAAAATAACTTCAACATTTATTTTAGATTCAAAAAAGATTTATTCTTTTAAAAAATAATTCCGACATTTTAGATTCAAAGGATACATGTGCAGATTTGTTTCATGGGTGTATTGCATGATGCTGACATTTGGGGTATGAATGACCCCATCACCCAGGTAGGGAACATAGTACCCAACAGTTTTTCAGCCTTTGTCCCATCTCCTTCTCCCGGTAGTCCCGAGTGTCTATTGCTGCCATCTTTATGTCCATGAGTATTCAATGTTCAGCTCCCACCCATAAGTAAGAACATGTGGTATTTGGTTTTCTGTCTCTGTATTAATTCACTTAGGATAATGACCTCCAGCTGCATCCACGTTCCTGCAAAGGACATGATTTTGTTCTTTTTTTGTGGCTGCGACTCTGTCCTTTTTGAGACAGCAGCCACTCCTTGGTTATGGAGTTGGGGACTGAGATACTTGGAAATAATTGATGCCTTTGGCAGAGATGGAACACTGGAACCTGTTCTTTTTTGGTTCCAGCATCTATCATGTTATTTTTACTATTTTTTTTTTTAAGGAAAACCTAAGTCTTAGGTCTGGGGGTTCAGGTAGGATACATACCACTTCTGTACTCCAGGGACTAGCACATGACCAATCAGAGCACTCCATCCCTTAGTGATTGGTTCAGAGAAGAGCATGCGACCCAACCCCAGTGAGTTCAGACCTAGGTTTAGTCCAGGGTCTAGTTCAGGTTTGAAGATGGACAAGAGTAAATCCTTTGAACTTTAGTGGCTTTTGCTTTTTGTTTCACAACTAAAGCAGCTAATAAGCAATATAAAGGGATAAAGAGGAAAACCTGGAGGTGGTGAAGCCTGCAGGTGGATCCCACTTCCTCCTCATCATCTCATTGAGGCACATGTGGCCATTTGGTGGCCTCAGTAGACTGAGATGTTTGCCGTGTCAAAGTTGAGAAGAACAGACTTGCTGTCTTTTATAGTCTACCAAGTCAGCAGTCAGGATCAGGATTTATTACACATAAGGCAGTAATTCTGTAACTCAGAAGCCACATCCACAAGCCCTGACATTCTAGGCCTTGAACACAGCACTGGGGTCATGTCTCCTTATCTACATCTTTGCTGTGAGGCCTGCTTTATAGGGCCAGTCATAACTTAACATCCCAGTCTACTGAGATTGCATCCTAGGACCTGTGGAACTGTTGGCAAAGAAGTGCTCTCTGTTTAGAAGAGTTGGATCTGAGAGGACATAAGGCTAGAGCTACTATAAGAGCTGCAGAGAGAATTTTCTTGAGGATGAATAAAAATAGGACTCCAAGATAAGGGGGCAGTGGAGGAGGTATCATAATCTAATGATTTCACTTGAGCCCCTGGATCCAGCCATGCCTGAATCCTGTCTGCTCCTAGACTTTTCAGGTAATTGAGCTAATAGGTTCTGCTTTTTTTGCTTAAGCCAGTTTGAGTTGGACTTCTGTTACTTCCACAAAAACAGTTCTGACTAAGGCAGATGGAGAGTAGAATCTATGAAGTGTTCTGATTGAATTTTGCTGGTATTCAGAATTCATCAGTGGAAAAGGTAATGGCATGGAAACCATCACCTTCCCCTTCTGCCATCTCCCCATAATGACTCACCTTCTTGGAACTTCAGTTTGCTCTTCTCTAAATCAAGTGGGTTTTGCTGGGTAGCCCTTAACGTGACTTAAGAAGACACTAAAAGTGGAGGAAGCATTCCTCAAAAGCAGTCAGAAACAACTGGATAAAGTGCATGACAATAGTAGAGTCTGCTGTTGTGCATTGAGCACTTACTCTCTGCCAGGTGTTCTGGCCACGGTCTCACTGAGTCCTAGCAACAACCCTCTGAGGTAGGTACTCCTGCTATCCCCGTTTTACAGATGGTAAAACTGAGGCACAGGGGGTGAAGTAAGTCACCCAAGATCACATTGCTAACAAGCAGTGGAGCCAGGATTTGAACATGAGCCTGCTGAGCCCCCTCCTTGCAAGCTCTGCCTACTTGCCTGGTTTGGGAAGGAGAGTTGGGGAGGGGGATCACATCTCTAAAGTGTTTCCTCAGCTGGTTGTCACCTCTGGAGCTAATGTCAGCTGATGGGTGCTGATATGCATTTAGTGCCCACAGCTAAACAACCTATGGCATCATAACTTAGAAAAGATGCCTGTAAAATAACTGAGTATTGAAAGTCGTTTAAAAAGATACTATTGCAAACAAGAAAGTACTTACAAACAAAGAAGAAGTAAAACCAGGACGATACATAAATGCAAACAAATAACATGGCAGAACTGACATGTCTCTAATGCCTAGTTTAAGGCCTGGACAAAATCTTAAAAATTATCAAGAAGACCATTTGAAATATGGGTTTATAGCCACAATTCCTAAAGATAAATCTTACCTACAGTACATAGCATACTTTGGGACATTAACCAATAATAGAAGCACAGGTCCACAATCCATTGTCTGTAAACCTAAAATCTATAAACCGCTGAAAGTTAAGTTTTTGTGGTAAGTTTGAGATACACTTATTTGGCAATACCTGATCTGAATAGATATGAGGACATTGAGAGTATTTATTCTCTTTAGAGTAACTGATCATATTTGTCTCTTTCTCTGTGTGTGTTTAGAGTGCTAACCCATATCTCCATGGGGATGTTAACTAATATTCAATATACACACCAGCTTCTCTTCCTAAAATCCAAAACAATTCTCATTTCTGAAGCACCTCTGGACCCAAGAGTTTTGAATAAAGGATTGTGGGTTTGCACAAATATATCATTTATAAACTAAGCATATGTGTAGTATGGGTGCATAGTAAAACTATTTCACTGATTGGATATACCATCAAAATGTACAGGTAACAGTTATTGGGGCTCCAGCATAAACAGGAAGTGCTCCATGCTCACAGATCCTCCCAGCTGTAATTTTCCTGCTGTCATGTCATTGCATGCTCTATTAGTATTCCTTTTCTATCCTTGGTGAAATATATTGTGACCATTTTCTTTTTTGTAGAGTCAAAATCGTGCTTTGTTTCCCAGGCTGGAGTGCAGTGGGACAATCATAGCTCACTGCAACTTTGAACTCCTGGGCGCAAGTGATCTTTTGGCCTCAGTCTCCCAAGTAGCTAGGACTATAGGTGTGCACCACCATGCCTGGCTATTTTTTAAATTTTTATTGTTGTAGAGACAGGGTCTTGCTATATTGCCCAAGTTGGTCTCGAACTTCTGGGCTCAAGCGATCCTCCTGCTTCAGCCCCCCAAATTGCTGGGACTACAGGTGTGAGCCACCATGCATAGTGGGTTGAGACCATGCTTTATTTGATGCTTAATATGGGTTTGGTACAAAAGAGGTGTGCAGTAAATGTTGAAAAACACATAAAACAAAGAAGAAAAAAAGGAAAGAAGGAAGGATAAGGAGGAGGGAGGAAGGGAAGGCAAAAAGGAAATGAAAAAGAAGGAAAGAAAAAAAGGAAAAGAATGAAAGTGAAAGGAAAAGGAAACAGATAAGAAAAAGAAAAAGAGGGAAAAAGAAAAAGGAAAGAAAAAGAAAGATGGTGAGTGCTTCGGCTTGCCAGCCCTTTCCCATGTATTCCTGCTAGACTGCCATGTTACTGGCCCCATAATGGGTAACCTCCCAGCTGGGGTGGGTCATTGCAGTGCTCACCATAAAGGAAATAATGTCTTCTAGGGTGAGTGTCCATGCTCGTGCCTAGTCTGCTAGTAAATTAATCTACTTACTGTCTACTGCTTAGTTTAATCTGGCATGTTTTATCCACTTTTTAAAAATATTATGTAACCTGTATGTTGTGCACACGTACCCTAAAACTTAAAGTATAACTTAAAAAAATTTATTTGTCCAACTTTTAAAAGATGCTGCATTTGACAAGATCTGTGGATGGATACTGAGACAAGTGGGCCAAAGTTGAAGGAGAAATAGGATATTTGCATGATCCCGACTATACTACCTTCCCCCAAGACATGTATTAAGTACAAAAGCATAAATAGTAATTTACAGTGGAGAAACCTGGCAAATGACACTAAGTAACCAAAGTTAGCATCACCAGTAATTAGACATTGTAACATCTTGAGCTTCTGGACACAATGCACTGAGAAGGACACAATGTCGTTTCTGTCATGTTCTTGTCCACGATGCATGACCCCAATCCAATCATAAGAAAAGTCAACAAATCCAAATTGAGGACCATTCTGCCACATAACTGGGCAGTCCTCTTTTAAAGTGCCATAAAAAGGCAAAGAAAGAAAGTGCAATTGTTACGTATTGGAAGGGATTAAGGAAACACGTTAACTAAATGTCAGATGGGATTCTGAATTGGATCCCGGAATAGAGAAAAAAATTAGTAAAAAATGGGTAAAATCCAAATACACTGTGTAGATTAATTGATAGTCCTGTACCGCTGTTAATTTCCTGGTTTTCATAATCATGCTGTGGTTATATAAGATGTCAACACGAGGGGAAGGTGGATGAAGAGTATACTGGAACTTTCTGTACTGTTTTTTGTACAACTTTTTATTTAAGACTAAAAAGGTAAAAATAAAACCCTCAGTGCTGCATCCTTATATAAAGGCCAATGATGTGGAATAACTGGCATTTTTACATACTGCTGGTGGGACAAAAAAATTGAGAATTAGATTTAGAGGAAAGCCTTAATTAAACATGTGAGCCCCATTTGACCTTGCAGTCATGGCTTCCAGGAATGGACTCCAAAACAAAAACAAAGAAATAAAACTGAGGATAGGGGTGCAAAGATGTATGGGCAAAGATGTCCACTGCTGTGTTGTTTATAATACTGAAAAACTGAAGGCAACCTTAATGTCTGTTACTGGAAATGGGGTAAATAAATTATGGTATATCCAAACAATAGAATAAATGGGTGACTGTTCAAAAAATGATGTCAATATTTTTATATTGCTATGGAGACATGCCTGTTTTATATGCAAGTGAAAAATTTAGTTAACAAAATAATATGTGTAGTATAATCTAGTTTATCTAAAAATGTCTTTAAAAGGCTGGACGAATACATCAAACTGGTAACTGTGGATATGGATGGGAGAAGGGATTATGTGGACATTTTTATTTTCTTTATATTTGAATTTTCACAATCATATCTGATGTGGAAAAATGAAGATATAGCGTTGAGAAACAGAGGCACAGCGGACAGGTGGGAGCAAAGGCAGTCGGCTCCTCCTTCTGTTCCCCCAGCCAAGTGGGGCTTTCCATATCTAATTCCTCACTTATCAAGCTCCATCTGCTGGAGCGGTGAATCCTGCCAACAAGAGATAATAAGCCTGTATAAAAGCTGCAGAATTGCAGGTACTTCCTGCTGACCAAGACCTCAGAGCAAAGGTTAAGGCATGAGTCTCATCTGAGTAATCTCCAGGCAGGTAGTGGCCATCTTGGGTTGGGCTCCTGAGAAAAGAGAATGCTGCTTCCTGGGGAGCCCCTGACTGAGCCTTCTTCAAGGGCTCAAGAATGGGAATGGGGGTCTGGGCATGATGATGACTCACTCCTGTAATTCCAGCACTTTGGGAGGCCGAGGTGGGAGAATTGGTTGAGCCCAGGAGTTTGAGACCAGCCTGGGCAACATAGCATGACCTCTCATTGGCTGGGTTCATAGCTCCAGCAGATGGAGCTTGATAAGTGAGGAATTAAACATGAAAAGTGCCGCTGTAGGCATGTGTCACCATGCACGGCTAATAAGAAATGTCATGGTCAGCAGGAAGCACCTGCAATTCTGCAGCTTTTACACAGGCTAATAAAATTAGCCGTGCACGGTGGCACATGCCTGTAGTTGCGGTTACACAGGAGGATAAAGTAGGAGGATAGCTTAAGCTCAGGAGTTGGAAGCTGCAGTAAGCTATGATTGCCCCACTGCATTCCAGCCAGGTGACAGAGTGAGACCCTGTGTCTAATATTTAAAAAAAAAAAAAAAAAAAAAAAGGAATAGGAAAGGAGGAAGGAATCCTAGAGGGTAGAGGAGGGAATAAGAGACGGTTCTCATGAGTCTGGATTCCAAGGTTGAATGACCTTGGGCCATAGTGATGAGTCTGGATTCTATTCTGGGAATGATGGTTCAGGAATGGGCATCGGAGGCCTGAACGGGCATTTGGGTGCCGTCTGTCCCCCTGGGAATGCTGCAGTGTCCCCTTAATCCTCTCTCACCTTATCAGAGAAATGCCTCCAGCATGGAAATTTCCACACAAGGACTGAGCTGTAGCCAGGTAAATAGAATGTCATCACTAGCCCCCCATGATAACATAAGCCACAGAGGCACAGAAGGGTGCAGAGGAGGGAGCACATTCTAGAAATGTAGGTATTTCCATGACTTCCTTCACATACCAGCAACAAGGGGGCTAGGAGGGAAAGGCAGTGACGTTGCTGAGAAGTGGTGGTAGTGAGCTTGGTCCAGAAACCTGCCATGTGCCAGCTGCGTGACTGTGGGCTCATCATTGAACTTGTCGAAGCCTTGGTTTCTGCCTCTGTGAAATGGGTATAAGAACAGGGAGTGCCTCAGAGAACTGTTGAGGAATCCAGTTAGCACAAAGCCTGGTGCTTAGTGCACGTCCAGTGACTCCTCCAGCTGGGGACTGCAGTCCACCCTCAGAAGAAAACCCATGAGCACCCGGGATGATGAGCTGCTGTGTCACAATTGTCATTGCTATTGCTAGTATTTTATGTCTATGAATCTCTTCAATTTATATCATTCAAGCTTCTGGGAATATCTTTTTAGCCTGAAGCTTGAAAGAAGGGTCTCCATAGTGGTTGAATGTGGCTTCAAATGCCCCTGATTTGAATAGTTTTCTCCCCAGTAAGGCACTCCTTATAACACCACCAATCTTCTCTACTCACTCCCACCCATGTCTTTGTTCATGCTATGCCTCCCTGCCAACCTGATACATCCTTTTCTTTTTTTCCTTATGTTCAAATTCTGCTAGTTCTTAGGTCCAGCCTCAATCATACTACCTCCCTGAAGCTTCCTCTAAACATTGTTTATCTATGCAGTATCTTTCCAAAGCCTTATATTTTAGTTACTCTATGGTTTCCATTGTGTATGTCAATTGTGTAGGTCTTGCCTCCTCTACTTGATCCCTGAAGGAAGAGAGATGAATCCTTCCTCATAACTGCAAAATGGCAGTAAGGGCTCCAGACCTCACATCCTCTCAGCCTCATGTTCAAAGGAAAGAGAACTTTGAGCTTCATTGGCCTGATTTGGGTTAAATTTTATCTATGAACCAATCATGGTATCCAGGAAATGGGCAGTATGACTAACTTAGACCAGGGATTGGCATATTTTTCTTAAAGGGCCAGATAATATTTTAGGCTGTGAACCATGTGATCTCTATTGCAATGACAAAACTCTGCTGTTAGTGTATGAAAAAAGTCATAGAAAATAATTAAATGAATTGGCATTGCTATCTTTGAATAAAACTATATTTGTAAAAACAGATGACTGACCCATAGGCTATAGTTTGCTGACTTGGCTTAGAAAGACCAATAAAAGTATTGTTTCTGGAGCAAGAGTAGGGTCATTAAGCCTTTCCAAACCATATGGACTGATTATATGGAGGGTCCACAAAGGAATTCAGGGACTATTTTACTATGAGAAAAGTTAAAGGGTGATGGGCAGAGAAAAACAACTTACTGACAAGGTCCATTGCCACATGTAAGAGTCTGTGAGCCATGAATCAGTATCCTTCAGTACCTTCAAGTAGATGAAGAGAACCAGGTTTGTCTGCTTAGGGAGCCACTTTACCCCCAAGGTGTTTTCAGAAGAACACCATGAAGTGGGAAGGAGAGAGCTGACTAAAAAGCTCTCACATTAATATGCAGCCTGTATCCTTCCAAACACTTTCAAACTTAGGATTTCAAAGTCTGCCTGCGAAACAGGAAGGTCAAGCATGTTATCATCCTCATTTTACAGATGAAGATGCTTACCCTCTAGGTATGACATGAAAAACTTGCAGAAGTAAACAGCACATTCTATTTTATTTCATTTCATTTATTTATTTTTTTGAGATGGAGTCTTGCTCTGTCGCCCAGGCTGGGGTGCAGTGGCATGATCTCGGCTCACTGCAACCTCTGCCTCCCGAGTTCAATTGGTTCTCCTGCCTCACCCTCCCAAGTAGCTGGGATTACAGGCACGTGCACCAGGCCTGGCTGATTTCTGTATTTTCTGTAGAGACAGGGTTTCACCATGTTGGCCAGACTGGTCTCAAACTCCTGACCTCAAGTGATCCACCTGCCTCAGCCTCCCAAAGTGGCACCACACCCAGCTGAAATAGCATATTCTAAAAACTGGCCATATAAGATTTGCAGCCTATGTACCACTGCTCTCCACCCCACTCTCATGGCAGACATCAATAGTCCATCACCGTACTTCTTCCCACTGAGTTCAGATAGTGTCTCAGAATCCTTCCCACAATAGAGCAGCCAATCCCAATGGATCAGAGTTGGCACATGAAAGGAAGAAACCCATTTGTTAGATTGGCTGACCATGTAGTAATACTTGTGGAATTGCCAAGTTACTTAGTACTACCACTTGCAGCTGTTATTTACTGGGTGCTTACAATCTGCCAGGAGCTGTGCTCATCTCATTTTTGTTTTAGAATTCTAGGCACATGTCACAGATGCCATGGTACACATTACCAGTCAACTCTGGTTTCAGCCTCAGCAGCAGTGGATAGTTCCCCCGTGAACTTAGACTCACCTTAAGCTGGCAGTCTCAGGGACTTGCTCTCTGTTTCTGCATTTGTCCTGGGTCATTTCTAACACTGAGCCTGCTAGGTGGCAGCCAAGCTCTGTCTAGGAGTGCAGGGACTAGCTGAATAAATACTCTAACCTCCCATTCTCCATGGGCATAGACCTGGGAGGCATTTCGTGCACTCCTCTGGAGGTCCCTGCAAAATCAAGACCCTGTTGCCTAGGGCAATGATCTTGAAAATACAGTCATAAAATGGCATTTTTCCTTGTCACTTGCTCACTCTTCCTTCTTGATATCACCTTCCAAGTAAATTACCTGTACACAGGTTCATGACTAAGGCTCTGCTTTCAGGAGAACACCAATGAGAACAATCAGGATACCAACTAGGGCAACCATGGACCCCATTTTACCTGTTAGAAAACGAACTCTAAGAATCCAGGTAGCTTCTTCAGGGTCACATAGCTGGTTTTTCTGATTCTAAAGTTCATGCTCTTACCCACCAGGCAGTTCTGCCTGATCAGCAGAACTTCAGATCACAGGTGGGCACCAAGGAATGGTGTTCAGATACATTCAATGCTGCATTTTGGCTGGTGAAAGAAACTGATTGGGTTTGACAGAAAGGAAGTCAGGCAGTTTTTTTTTCTCCTAAAATTAACCTTACTTTCAGTCATCCAATTCAGGAATAATCATGCTCACTCTAGGGAACTCCACCAATGTTTCAGAGCTTCTAGGTAATTAAAACACTTCATTAAATCGAATTCCATGAGAAGAATATGGCAAAGATAAGCATTTTTTTTTTGAGGCGGAGTCTTGCTCTGTCACCCAGGCTGGAGTGCAATGGTGGGATCTTGGCTCACTGCAACCTCTGCTCACTGCAACCTCTGCCTCCCGGGCTTAAGTGATTCTCCTGTCTCAGCCTCCTGAGTAGCGGGGACTACAGGCATCCGCCACCATGCCTGGCTATTTTTTTTTTTTTTTTGTATTTTTAGTAGAGATGGGGTTTCACCATGTTGGCCAGGATGTTCTCAATCTCCTGACCTTGTGATCCATCTGCCTTGGCCTCCCAAAGTGCTGGGATTACAGGTATGGGCCACCACGCCTGGCCAAAGGTAAGCATTTCAAACCACACAAAGTGGAAATAATGAGGAAGCATTCCTTTGTCTTTTATTTTAGCAGTTTCAACCCAGGCTAGCCCATAGATACAGAGAAGGGTAGAGGATGTGGCAAAGTGATGCTCTTCAAGGTATCATGGGAAACTCTTAGCTAGCTGGGTTGAGGTTGGAAAATGTGCCCTTTCGTTGACTATTTAGTTCTGAATGCAGGCCTGCTTGGTCAAAGGCCATTGTAGGTAGGTTCTTTTCAAATGGGCAATAGATGTCCAGTTGTCAATCTTCTGAAGAGGAAAAAGGGCCCTAGAATTGTGGAAGCAGCTGGGATGAAAAAGCCACATTCTGAAACTGTTCCTGACTGGACAGACCCTGGGAAGGTGAGCAGCAATTAGGTGGACGTGAGTTGAAAATTCGGGAGGAATGGCCACTCTAAAAGTTTCTCAATCTGAGGCTGAAGTTGGATGTTTGTCAATTTCTCAGGATAAACAGCATATCACAAAGTGGGAAACAGGCTGGTCCCCAACTCCACTTCTGTTCCTAGCTTTCCAGTTTACTCTTAAAAAACAAAACAAAACAAAAAGAGGAAAGCTGTCACATGGGTAAGATATTGCAAGCAGTTGGCTGCCCTGCCCTTCCATTCAATACATACCTCATTTGTAATACAAAGGAAAATTTCCTGTAGGTTAGTGACATTGGTGAGGATGTTGTAATGGGTCCATGACTGTGATATTTGTGCTCATACGTCAATTTCCAAAGGCATATACAATTTCTCTGGGACTTCTTTGAAAGCCATCGTAAAGATTAGTTTAGGGACTGTGTTGATTATTCCTTTTGTTGTCCTCCGCACTGCTCAGTGCCCACTTCCTGTTGGCTTTGGCCAATAGGAGGCACCAGCAGGTGACTGGAGGGTGAGGGAGAGAAGGCCGAGGCGTTTATTCAATCAACTTTCCACTCCCTGCCTTACTGTGCAATGACTGCCTGTCAAGGGGCCCCACTTCTAGAGATCCAGCATTTACCAGGCTCTGGTGACACCATTCCAACCCACACCGTTTTAAGCCCACGGGTGGCAACAGCTCTGAACTACAGCTAGTCCATGGATGCATCACCAAACCTTCTTTGTTCCCTTAACCCTGGCACATCTCTGCAAAGAGTCTGCTCATTAAACCTTCTTCTGATAAACTCTCTTCAAGTTGCCACCTGCTTCTTGCTGGGACCCTGACAGTCACAGAAGCCCTTCCCACAGTATCTTATGCATGTCCTTCCTAGCAGTACCATTGAGAATTGTAAGTAGAGCAGCTATTTAGCAAAGCACTCATGGGTTCAGGCATTGGAGTCAGACAGATCTGGGTTTGAATCTGGCCTTTATTTTCTTTTTACTCAATCACCAACTGTGTGACTCAGTTTCTTCATTTGAAAATGAGGATAATAGATCTGAAGTTAGAGTTTTTGTGCCAATTAAATGAGATGATGCACATTAAGCTTAGCAAGCATCCACCGTGTGATAAAGCCTTGATGATATTTGACTGTTATTGTCACTGTTATCGTCCTTGCCTCATTATCTGTCTACCTCCTTAAGTTGAGGTGATCTCCTTGGTAATGTATTCCTGTCTGATTCATCTTTTCAGCCTCAGGGCCCCCTAAAATGCCTTGTAATTTAGGTGCTCAAAACATATTTGTTGTTTGTTTGTTTTGAGACAGAGTCTCGCTCTATCGCCCAGGCTGGAGTGCAGTGGCACGATCTTGGCTCACTGCAACCTCTGCCTCCCAGGTTCAAACGATTATTGTGCCTCAGCCTCCCAAGTAGCTGGGATTACAAGCACCTGCCAAAATGCCCTGCTAATTTTTGTATTTTTAATAGAGATGGGGTTTCACCATGTTGGCCAGGCTGGTCTCAAACTCCTGACCTCAAATGATCCTCCTGCCTTGGCCTCCCAAAGTGCTGGAATTACAGGCGTGAGCCACTGTGCCCGGCCTCAAAATGTATTTGTTTAATATAATAACATCATGGCAGAGACAATACCACGAGACCGCCAAACTCTGCCTCATTTTCCTCTTGCCACACAAGAAGACTACATTTCCCAGCCTTCTCTGCAGCTGAGACCATGTCCTTGAGTTCTGGCCAACAAGATGTGAACAAAAGTGATGTATGCTCCTTTCCAGACTGGGCCATAAAACCCTGGCATGGTCTTCCAGTTCAAGAGCCAGCAAACGTTTTCTGTAATAATAGTAAGTATTTTTGGCTTTTTGGGCCATGAAGTCTCTGTCCCAACTACTCAACTCTGCCACAGTAGCACAAATGAAGCCATAGACAATATGTAAATGGATGAGCATGGCTATATTCCAATACAACTTTATTTACACCAATAAAGAGATGGTGAACTGGATTTGGCCCACAGGTTGTAATTTGCTGAGCCCTTTACTAGTTACTCTCTCCACGTTTCACGGAAACCCTGGAAGCCAAGTGTTGCAGATGCTGAGAATGCCAAGATAGGGGGCCTGGGTCACTGAAAGTCTATAGGGAGCAGGGTCCCCCTGCCCCCACCCCCACCAGAGTACACCATGACACGAGCTTCCATTGTGTTAGGTTATTAGATACTGTGGATGTTTGTTACAGCAGCAAACCTATCCTGACTCATAGATCAATGATCCAGAAACCAAATGCTCATGTCTGTAGCTGGGAAGAACAAAATATAAGAATTTAGATTGAGACTGCTAGAAGGATCATAGTAATTACAGTAAAAAAAAAGTTCACATATTCAGTATTTTGTGCTTTTTAAATCCTCAGGAGCACAATCTCATTTGTAGCCTCATAACAACCCCACAAGTCAGGCTCAGCAGATGTCATTATCTGCATTCTATATATAAGGAATTGGAGGTTCAGGAAAGGGGATGACTTGCTCAAAGGCATGTTGCTGGTAAACCACAGAGCTGGGTAACCCATCAAAGTCTCCATTCTCCTGGGGCAGTGAACTTCCCACCACTCCATGCGGTTATCTGCTATCCAGGGTATTATTTCCTTAATTTAAATAAGACCTCAGACTGCCAACATTTACTGATTCTTACTGTGTGCCAGCACCTGCTGTAAGCATCTTGCATATGTCATCTCATCTGAACCTTGGAGAGGTTAAGCCACTTGCCCAAGACCACTAAGTTCTTAGGTGGCAAAGCTAGGATTTGAACCCAGGTCACTCTAACTTGAAATTTGGTCCTCTGAGAACTGAAATAAGGATTTTTAGTGGGAGAAACCTCAGCTGCTTTTAGCCTTATCACATTTTAAAGCACTATTTAGATTATTTATTCAAAATATATTTGTAGATATTCCACCTGGTGGATTATCCACCTGTTTCAGGTGCTGTGGTAAGATCAGTGAAGCATACAGGCATTCTATGTCCTTCTCTTGTGGCACTTAGAGAACAGTGAGGTCTTGGTGATAGTCAGCTCAGGGACAGTCGAGGCTCAAGTCACCTGTGCATGGCCTAGAAAGCCTAGAAGAGCCCCACTTGAATTCCATCGAATGCATTCTCCAAAGGAGCAGGGGTTTTCTATTACTAGAGAAGAGGAAAAGATACGTGAATTTGACAAAACAACAATATCATTTATAGATGCTTTACACTGTTGGAGAAGGTGGGAATCAAGAAGGATTCCTGGAGAAGTGACATGAGTAAGTTAAGGAGGCAATGAGTGGGCAAGAGGACAATAATGGTATTGTCAATAAGACCACTCCAAGGAAGAAGGACAGCAGGCTTAAATGCCTGGGGGCTGGGGAAACAGAATTTTGGTGCAACTACAGCATGGATCAGAAGGGATGGGAATGGGAAACAAGTAAAAGTAAGAGATTAAATTGAAGAGACCCAACAATGAATGGCCTTGGCTACCATGTTGAGTTCTTTGGAACTGATCTTGTGGGCAATGAGGAGTCACTGAAGGGAGACAAGGAGCGTGACATGATCAGATCTGTGGTTCAGAAAGATGACATTGAGAAAGCCTGTCTCATTCACAGCTGTGCCTAGAAGAGTGTCTGGCATATAGCAAATGTTCAAGAAATATTGTTGGAATAAATAGCTTAAGCACAGATTGCTATGAGAACAACAGAACAGTCAACTGACTCCTAATTTCTGCTTTATTGTTTTTCTTGACCAAGAAACCAACCTAGAACCAATCTGGAAGTCAGGGTCATCAGAAACTCTGTCTTTCTCCCCCAGGATGAAAAGTAACGCTGAGAGTATGTTGAAAAGCGCTTTTAGATTGCGGATTCAAAGCAGTGCAAGTGACAAGAATATTATCTTTCATTTTCCTCATTCTCTCTGCTTTCAAAGGCCTCTGTCCTGCTTTATACCACATCCATCAGACACCCTCATTTTCATATCTTCGCCTTTGTAATAGCAAGTGGCTGAATGTTGCTAACTGCCTGCCCTCTATGCACAGAGGCACTGGTTCCTGGAAATGAAGGCAGCTTGCTGAACATCGGCAGCCACTGTCCTGGGGATGTTTTCTTTTAGGATCAAGCTTTACCTACAAGCCTGAAAAGAAACATCGTGTATCAGGATGTCTTAGGGTCAATTCCAGACCTTCTGGGCTCAGGCAACCCCCTTGACATATCAAAGTACTGGCATCCAAACTTACGTGTCATTGATGGAGACCATCTGATGTAGTTTTAATAAAGGAAGAGAACTGGCAAAACGCAGTGGCTCACGCCTGTAATCCCAGCACTTGGGGAGGCCGAGGTGGGCGGATCACGAGGTGAAGAGATCGAGACGATACTGGCTAATGTGCTGAAACCCCATCTCTAATAAAAATACAAAAATTAGTTGGGCATGGTGGTGCGTGCCTGTAGTCCCAGCTATGCGGGAGGCTGAGGCAGGAGAATTGCTTGAACCTGCGAGGTGGAAGTTGCAGTGAGCCAAGATTGTGCCACTGCACTCCAGCCTGGCGACAGAGCAAGACTCCGTCTCAAAAAAAAAAAAAAAAAAAAAAAAAAAAAAAAAAAAAAAGAATTTAGGTGACACAGATCTGGGTTCAAAACTCCAGACTCTGCCACATACTAGTTGTGTGGCAACTTAATTCCTGTATGCCACAATTTTCTCTCCCTGAAAAATGGACATATCTATTCTGTTTTGAGATTATTTGGGGTTTTAAATGAGCTAAAGTAGAAAAAAGTAGTAACTGTTTGGTAAAGCATAGCCATTTATTTCTGGAGACATTCAAGCTCATATGTTATTGATGCGTGAGCCACCATATGAGTCAGAGACCCAACTGGGACAAGATGGGAAGCAAGTGGCAATTTTGGGCCTATTTTCTCTCAGTGCTTCTCCCTCACCTGTTTTCTCCTTAATACCCCTTTTCAGATCTGTTTAAAATTTCTAAGTAGTAGATAGTATGTGTGTGTGTGATGGGATATGGCAGCAATTGTGGAATGCTGGTCAAAAGTCTCTTGGAGCTCTGTTGATTGCAAATGATAGAATCCAAGTTCAAACCCTTATTGGCTTAATACCTGGAAATGACAGGTATAGAACTGGTTTCAGCAGCCCACCCATGAGATGAGGGCTCGTTTTTTCCATCTCTAATCGCAGCTTCTCTGTTGATCATATTCTCCCCTCCAACGGGTACTTCTTTTCCATGGCACAGTGGGTCACATGGCAGTGGGACAAGGTCACAGGAAACTCTAAGTTTCTATCATCTCAGCTTACCATCCTTAGAGGAAAGAGGACCCCCTTCCTAGCCACTTCAGACCATGGAAGGGCTCTCATTGGCCTGTCTTGGGTCACATGTCCACTACTTGAACCAATCACTGCAGCCAGGAGATGGCTTACTATACCATGATTGTGCAGGCTTTGGTCATGGGACCCATGTCACACGTGATTGTTGCCACTGTGGGGTTCTGTGATTGGTGGTTCCATTAGAATCACATGGAGCTGGGGAACTACATTCTCCAAAACCCTGTTTTATGTGGGAGGGGCCCTTTTACCAGAAAAAAAAAAAAAAAACAAACAAAAACGGTAGAAGGGAGGCTGGGCAGACAACACTAACGATGTTATCACTGCAAACATTTCCCTTCCTGTTTTCTCCCTGCCTTCTGCAAGAACTAGGGGATCTGTGCTTGTGTTTGTGCTCTGTAAACACTGGCTCTGTCAGGACCTGCTAGAGCTGTGGATAGAGGTTTGAGGAGCATGAGTTTGGGCTCAGACATGTCTGAGATCAAATTCCAACTTTTCTCCTTACTGGCTGCACTGCTTTGAGCAAGGTACATAACCTCTCTGAACTTCAATTTCCTCATGTGTAAAATAGAGATCATAGGTGTCCTAATATGATAGTTGTGAAGATGAAATAAAAAGTGTTTCAAAAAGTGGTAGCTAGTATAATAATAATTACTATTATTATATCATCATAATTATTATTTTTAGGGCTGATGTGACACTCTGAGAAGAGTACCTAAGAGAGGCTTGACTCAGTGTTAAGGTTAGATTAGAGATGATCTAATCTAATTACTTCATTTTACAGATGGAGAAACTGAGGCCCAACAGATAGCTTGACCCGTTTGCATGAGGTTGAACTGAGGAATTGCAAAGATGAGTTTTTGCAGGAGACTGAGCCTGGAGCCAGTTAGCCTCGCTAAGAGCATTCAGAAATTATGAGGCCACAAAAATGCTTTTTGGCTTGAAGCGTCCAAATGGGCCCCACCCATCTCACAGACAGTCAGGCCGCCTTCTCCTTGCTACTGGCCCCTGTGTTTCCAGGCTGGTGAATACAAATCTCTTTTTTTTTTTTTTAAATACTTTGTTCTTGAAAACTTTAGGATGACTGGGTCTTTTTATGTGGGAATTAGAGCTTCAAAAACCTTGGTTTTTGGCGTATTCCTCTCCCCAACACCTATATGTGTAGTTTTCTTTCCCCTCCCCTCCCCTCCCCTCCCTCCCTTCCCTTCCTCCCTCCCTTCCCTTCTTTCTTCCCTTCCCTTCCTTTCTTTGTTGCCTTTATTCCTTCTTTCCATCCCTCCCTTCTTTGTTCCTCTTCTCTTTTAGTATTTAAACATACAATGCCATGTTCTAGGCACTGTGCCAAGGGTGGGGTCAAAAAATCACTCATCTTTACATTTACAGTATTTCTCAAGTTCATCTTCTATGCCTGGCATTGTACCAAGGACCCTGGGCACTAAGGATGCAGCAGGAAATGCAGCAGACTTCATTTCTGCTCTTACAGGGCTTACATTTGAGTGTTTTCTCTTCAAGAACCTGGACGTTTAGTCTAGGTTGTGTCTTCCGTGAGAAAGGCTGGCGTTGGGTAAGGCTGGAGAGGTGAGTAGGACCAGAGCATGGTAAGACGTTTGGAGTTTCTTTTGAGGGCAAGGGACAGTCACTGAAGTATTTTTAGCAGATGCGGGTCACTCTTGGGCTCGTATTTGAAAGGGGACACTGCTACCTGCCCACCTCTGTAGCATCATCTCACATTATTCCTCTCCTCACTCTCTGGGCTCCCATCCCTCTGACCTTCTCTTACTTTCAGCAATGTGCTGTCCTTCTACCACCTCCAGGCCTTTGCAGAAGTCTTTCCTTCCACCTGGAAAACCCTCTTCCCCTCTTTGCCTCGTGAACTCCTCATCCTTCAGTGTTCAGCTCAAATGTTCCTTTCTCTGGGAAGTTTGCCCTGATTTCTACCTCCATCTTTCCCTGCTGAACTAAGCCAAATCCCTGATCTATGCTCTCAAAGTATCTAGTACTTCTACGTTTCCTTGCAATGATCACAACTGAAAACAATTATTTGTGTAATTGTTAAATTTAGTTTTTTTTTTTAAGAAAAAATATTCTTAGGCTATAAGCTCCACGTAGATAGAAGTTGGGTCTGTCTAATTCATTTTTACACTTCCAGCATCCAGGATTTGTCGATTTGCAAATATTTGTCGAATTTAAAAATGATGACCAAGGGAATGAGAAAGTGAATGAGTGAGAGAGTGAATGAGTGAATGAATGAACGAGCAAGTGAATGGATAAGTAAATAATAAATGAATGAGTTATCACCTACGATATTTGGGATGTGACCAGCCTAGGAAGCCTAAATCCTTGGAGCTCCTATGTGTTTTTTTACCTGACATGATAACCCCTCCCCGATCTAGTCTATTATTGTTTTTTTTTTTTTGTTTGTTTGTTTGGTTCAAGACCTTATGAATCGCTTACTGGTCTTGCACTCACATGCCAAGTAGAAAATAGTTTTCATCTCTGTGTCTACTCTGATTGATTGCTCATGGCTGCTTGGAGCTCTAGGATTCAGAGACACTGGGAGGCTGCTTTGGGCTTGGTGGAGAATGCCACTATCTGTTAGCAATGTCTGCCATGGATAACTCAGGGAAAATGTATTGCCTGTTCTTCCTATTTGTTAGCCTTGGACTCCTGGGGCAACTGTCCCCTGATGGTGTGGTTCCTTTGAATCCTAAAACCAATTTCTCTCATTATTAGGAAAATTCAGTGCTCTTTGGGAATCTGTGCTGACCTAAAATGTCAATTCTGCTGCTACTGCTTGGCATGTAGCATCTATGTTTTTTTTTTCCTCTTTCTCATTCTGTTCTTTTCCTTCAACTCTGGTTTCTCACATGGTTCATCACAAGCCCCTTGAGGGACCACTTAGCCCCATCTGGAAAATGAAATTGACAAATTCAATGGATTATTTTTATCTCTTGGGCTGAAACCAGAAAGTAAATCAATTCCCCCAGGGAGAATTTCTCAAAATGCAGTGTGAGATCAGCTGCACTCAAATCACTGGGAGCTACTTATTGGTTAAAAAGTAGCTTTCCTCAACTCACCTTCTCCCCTTACCTCTCAGTTAAACATCAGATGGTGGCATCGTCCATAAAAGGCAGGGTATGAGGTCTGGTGAGGACAAAGTGATTTCTCTGGCATTGTAAAATGAGCTGGGGGTGGAGGAGAAAAGGCTGAAGCTGCTGGTTCTCAGCTCTGACCTGCAGTTCCCAGCTTCCTTCAGCTAAATCCTACTCCACTTATTTTTAGCATGGGGCAATGGAAAAGGCAATGGGCCAGCACCAGGAAATAGATTTCTAGTCTCCACTCAGCTGGTTATTAGCATGTGACTTTGGGGCTTCAATTGTCTCATCTGTAAACTGAGTAAATTAACACCATTACCATCAACCCTTTTGCTAAGAACACCACTATCACCATTATCACCCCAATCATCATATATAATCGTCATCATTCCCATCATCACCATTTTCACCAACATTATCATGCCATCATCACCATCAACATCACCATCATCCTCATCATCAACTCCATTACCATCATCCATATTCTAGGTACCACTTACTAAGCATTTGCTGTGTGCTAGGCACTTTGCTGTTCGCAATATAAGCATCTTCTCACTTAATCCCCACAACAATTCTATGAGGTATGTATGTATGTGTTAATACTATTATTCCAGTCTTACAGATGAGGAAAGTGAGGCTCAGTGAGGTGAAGCCCCACTTTCCCAGGAAGTTATAGAGCTTGAATCAAACCTAGGCTGGTTTTTGTTCTTAACAACTAAATCACGAAGGCTGTCTAAATGTTCACTTAAGGTTCACTCTACATTAAAAAAAATCCTAGTGTCTTTTCAAGTTTTGCCATCTTCTGAATACAACCAGATATTTTCTTAATTAATGTGATATTTTCTTAAAAAACATGTTTCTTGGTAGAACCAGATGCATTAAATGATAAGGCTATTTTATGAAGCCACTGCTAGAGGACCTTCCTGGTTTTGTCCATGGGAACCTGAGGCTCACTATGCCTTGTCCCTGGCCACATACCAAATTAGGGTTAGTCCAGGATGCCAGTTTTCCTCTGCGCAGGCGGAAAATTGGCAATGAGTCCCTTGGTTAATTTTCCCCGTGTTTGTAGAGAAGAATTGGAAAACAGGATTTGGGATCCGTGAATCTGGTTTCAAAATCTGGCTGTTTTTTCTTGGTTGGTAAGTGGTTCAGCTCTCTGGGCCTCGGTTTCCTTACCTGTAAAATGGGGATCATAGTACCTACCTCATTGTGTGATCACAGGATTAAATAAGATAATGTATTCAGAGTGCTTACTTAGCATAATACCTGGCACATAATAAATACTTGCTACATCATGATTATAAGACCATATTATTATTTTTTTGCAATGTAGTTTATAAATATATATTACATACAATATATACAATATATTATTCTATTTTGTATTAACTATCTCTCACTGCTTTTTTCTCTGCACATCATATTCCTCTACTATGCTATTCCACTAGAAGTAAAGGCCTAATATAAAGTGAACTGAACCCAGGATTCCCTTTTTAACTCAGCCTGCAGATTTTCAATGCGGCAAGGTATTGCTGGAGGCATGTGGCGAGGTGCCTCAGGAAGCCCTCAGACTTGTGCCTGTGTGCGGCTGAGAAATTGACTTTTTCCCCCCAGTCAAATTATTAATTAGTTGCCTTATTGACTAATTTCTAAGCACTCAGTCAAATTGAGTAACCAATCTAATTTGGACGGGAGAGCAGAGAAAAGCTTTAGTTCATCCATTTTTCAATTGGGTGCATTTCATTGTCTGGAAAAGAGACTTGAAATAAGGTACCTCAAATCCTTGTTCAAGCATGGAAATTCCGGGGACTGTAATTATCGAACTGTCTTATCTTCATGTCTTCCACTACTTGATAAAATAGGGCAAAAATTCCCTTCCAGTTTAAAGATGGGAAGAGTTTGAAAGGCTAATACCTCTACTAAGGTTAAATATTCAATATTGAAGGCCCACTCTGTGTTAGATACTTTTGTTATTAGTAATCGTTATTAGGCACTGTTACAGAATTCTTACGTATTCAAACCAAACTGGGCATCAGGAATGGAAAGAAGTGGGCTGCCATTTTTTTTAATCTCTGTATTTTTATGTAGCTCTTTGCTTTTAAGGATTCCCAAATCTTTGAAAACAACATCTCTAGCATCTTCGAAGACAGAAGGCAGTGAATATCGGTGCTGTTTAAAGGTAGGGATATTAAGGCCCAGAAAGTCTGAGCTGTTTTCTGAAAAGTGACAAACAGTTCCCCAAGTCTTTGCATTGGCAGGGATCTTAAAACAGCCTTTGAGAGGGAAACAAAGACAAAACATCAGGGTTTGTAGACCTGACTGCAGGGCAGGCACTTTCTCTTTCCTTTTTGGGTAATACCGATGGGCAGTTTAGCTTCGTGGACGAGAACGAAACAGTCCCCTATATTCCCTCATAGGAGTGGGGCCAAGGAGGGTGGCCCAAACCCCAGCCCCTTCTCTGAAAATCCTCTTAGGGGAAAACCAAAACAAACACAGCATAGTTTGGCTTTTCATGTGGGGGGAATTGCCTGGCACCACCCCTCCATCCAAAACATGCTTTTGATTTGGTTTTATTGGCTACTGAAAAGAATCATTTAATAGTCAAGAGCCAGGCAGTGACAAAGGGTTCAGGTAAATTAGTTTCAGTTCTTACGTGGACTGTCCTTCTTCTTTGGAATTTGAGCTTTAGAAAATAAAAGCCTCCCCTACCACTTATTCGCTTTACCCCTCCTTACCCTTAAGCCTTTTAAAAAGGATTTTTCTTCCCCTTTCTAAATCTCTTCAAAAAAGAGTTTCTTTTCTTTCATACAGAGGGGTTGGGGAATTACATTTGTCAAAATATCCTAACATCAGTGCGTGAAGAAAATTCAATGAAATCCAAATTAAGTGCATTAAAAAAAAAGTGTTTTTTTTCTTTTTGGCCTGGACCCTTAAAATATGCAGAAATACACCAAAAGAGAGCTTCAAAGCCCATTTTAATAACTAACTACATACCTGCTGAAAGCATTTACTCACAGCTCCCGCTTTCGCTCCAGTCCCAGATGCTTAAAATGCAGTTAAAGTTTAAGCTTTTAGTATTAACAATCACTCACACAGAAGCGGCATCCATAAAATCTACAAGCCCAGTCTGCCATTACTTCATTGTAATTAACAATCTAGTAGTAAAGTAATGATCTCGAAATCTACAAATGGTATGGCACTAGAGGTTTAAATATTTGACAATGTGTTGGGTCCTATAATTTGATTCTGGAACTGAGACTTTCCTGAAGGGAAGACTCCCTAACAGTTAATGTATTTCTAGGCATAGACCAAAAGAAATCCATTGACAATTCTGGGTCCCCTTCTATCCCAGTTCTCCAGCTTTTCATTCCATCTGTGTTTTCTCTTACTTTCTCTGTATCCCCAGTTTCTCTCAGCTCAAACACCCTGCTATTCTGTGATTCTTCTCTCTCGTCCAATACCCTTCCCATTGAAAAAGAAATTCAGCTTATCCAGAGATAGCATCAGCCATTGGGATTAAAATGCAGTATATACGTTTCAGGTGATGTGCTGGAAAGATCAGCAAAGATATAAAATATCCAAGGGAAAACAAAAGAAAAAAAATGGCAGGCAGTCTAACACCGGCTAATAGTTAAATAACAATTTGATGTTTAGACATAAGAGGCTGAAGTTAGGAAACTTGAGGTTCACCCATACATTCTGGGCTTCGAAATCTGCCATCAGTAAAGGGGCACAATGGTGTGAATTTTTAGCCAAGCATCAGTTGAACCTTGAATTTCCTGGGTTTTTGTTGGACCGTATCACAGTGAAACATTATATTCTTTTCCCCCAAATATATATCTGATTTCCTTTACAAAGAGCAAAAAATATTTTTCCCACCAAGCTACAAGAAAACACATGTTATCTTTCCCAATAGGGCATCATCTATTATTGGTCTTTTGGAAAGCTAAAAAAAATGCTTCAAACAATATTCTAAACCCGTTTATTGTGTTTTGTCAGATGAAAAAAACTGATTTTGATTTATTATTTCATGTAGATATTATATAGACATTTGTGTTCGACATTTCCTGAGAAATATTTCCGTTTCTGAGGTCTTTTAAAAACGCACTTTTAGAAAACTTTATAATTTTTTTCTGTGCATGTATGTGTGGTGGCAGATGAGGAATTCTTTTAAGATCCTTCATGTTTAAGATGTTTAGTAACTAAAAATAATTTACTGGGAAATTATGAACTTTATAAAAGACCAACATTTGCTGAGAGTCAATTGCTTCCAATAGCCTTTTATTAAAGCCATTTTTCTATTCTTTCTTCTTATAATTACAGAATGTTTTAAATATGAGTAATTATACCTTGACGTATCTCGTGATTTAAAATGGACTTTTGAGAATGACGGCAAAGTGGTTTCTGCATTTCGTAATTCAATACAATCAAAAACAGTTAAAAAATATGTATACAACTGGATGTGTTATTCTTTCAAAAATCAGTCGTAAATATAGACCTTTTTTTGGGCGGGGAGAAGGGGTGGGTGAAATTTCAGATTGGAACGAAGTTACAACCCACATCAGGAAAATCGGCCCTTTAATGAGAGAAATGAAAAAGTCTTAATCACCAAAACCCCTCCAAAAATGACACTTTGAATTACATCAGAACTCTACATGGCAATGCAAAACGAGAGCCTTTCATCTGAAAAGTGAAATACTTAATGATTTCAATCAGTTCGTACCTCCCCTAATTTGAGATCTGCATAACGTATTCAGTGCCTGGATTTCTTTCATATCTCTAAAATATTTATAAAAACAATTCATTCTCTTGTTTTCTACCTACCTCCCCCCCTTTCAAGATGAAGGTAATTTGTTTTCTCTGGTAGAAGTTGCAGAGGGCAGCGGGGGATTGGGGAAGAGCAGTGTAGTTATAGAAAGCACCAAATGGCATTTCCAAGCTATCTGAGAATATTAACGTTTGAGTGTGTCAGATCTGCCCAGGGGCAGGAGGCTTAAGATCATTTTTCTCCGCTGAGGTTTAATGATTGAATGCATTTTGTCTGAAGGAAAAAAAAAGGAGGAAATAAATTTTTTGAAAAAGGTTTATATTTACAGAGAGTGCCTAACGAACTAGTTAACATTCTTACTATCAGGAAAGCCTAAACCATTCATAAATAAACCATTTTAAACCACCTTTACCCACATGCAGCACTCTTTCTTTCAGCTCCCTTTAGCAATTTGAAGTACAGGAGATTAAAGTCCTTTGGAAATTTCCAAGGTCAGACCTCAACTAAAATAGGATTAAGGGGGTAAGGGCGGGGGGGAGACAAAAATGAAGAGAAAGGTCTTATTCCCTTTTCCCCCTTCTCCTAACTATCTGAAATAAATCGGAAGTTATTTCTCGAAATCCTCCTTTCCCCTGGCCAGTGGCAGCTCTTCAAAAGCTTCTGAGACTGTTTAAAATTTTTCCTATCCCTTCCTCCCCCCATTGTAAGAAAAACAAGTAGAGTGAGGAAGGGAAGTTAAAAGGTTGACGTTAGGGTCCCTTCTAGGCAATACTCCAGGGAGCACTGTGACATTAAGAACTTTTGCTGAAAGCAGCTGCTAGTTTGATCATTACTGAAAGAAGAAAAATTCTGCAACATTGCAACCATTTTCTCTTTAGATGTTCCAAACCAGTATTCCAACAAAGGAAATGAAAAAGGGAAACCCACTCTTTCTCCCCTTTTCTTTCTGTGTTCCATATGTAATGTTTAATTTCGGCACCAAGGACATACAGCTTTGAATTAGAAAACACACAAAGATAAAACAGCTCTCCTGCCCACAACTCTGTAAATGTTTCTCTTTCTTTCTTCTTCCCTTCCTTCTCTCCTTCCCTCCCTTCTTTCCTTCCTTTTCTCTTTATCATCCCCCCATAAATGTTTTCCTCTTTCTTTTCCATTTTGCCTTCCTTCAACTTCTCTCTCCCTTGCTTTCTTCCCCCATCTGTCTTTCCTTCTCATTTCTAATTCCTCCCTACACATAAACAACGACAGAAACCACAACATCTTTCAGTCTACCTTGGTTGCATTTGTTCTTGCTCTTAATTTGATCCATTCTTTTACAGTCTTCCTGGACGTTGCTTGCCTTTTTGTTCATCAGATTTCAGCAAGGAGAGCTGTCTCGGTACATTTTGATAGATCTTAACAGTAATTATGTAGGGACTTCAAAGCAAAACTACTTATGTGCGCTCTCTTTTTCTCTATCTTTCTGCATGCGAGCGTGCAAACACACACGCTATCTCAATCCTAACCCCACTAAATCCATACAACAAAAAAATCCTTTTTAAACAGGGCAGAAAATTATGTGGAAATTAGCAGCTGGTATTTCGAATGTATGGTGATTGCAGAAACCTCCCCAAATTTCTGGGGGAAATAATGAAAGGACCCTATAAAGAAATAGTGCTTCTTATTTGACTAGTCTTCATTTAAAATGTTTTCAGTCATGCTTTGAAATTTCAACATTTTAGACTAGGGATCATGAATAACCTGCAATGATAAAAAAAAAAAAAAAAAAAGAGGCTGAGAGATAAATTAAATAGGATCTGCCAACATTGGGTCTGGTGCTGACATACGATTATTCCTAAATTGAATGATTTGGTCCTAGCAAATTTGTGCCTTTGAATAGGCCATTTTATGGCAAAGTACAAATATTTTAAAGAAGAGTTTTACGTATTAAATATTAAAAAACTAGACACAATTCTAGTTTTGTGTCTGCCTTTAAATAATCAGAGTTGGGCCATCAGGTTTCAAGGAAAAAACATTCATTCAATGAAATAATGAATAGCAAAGCTGGATGTTTCATTGACGAAATGTTTTCCAGGGATTTTGACTTTATTATAAATGAGGTTTTATCTCAGGAACTAAAAATACTAGAAAGGAAGGAAATCAACGAAGGGGCTGAAAATACTAGGAAATATTAACCAAGTCCTCCCCTTGAAGAAAGATCTGGAATTTGTAGATGCCTCTGAAAGTCTGAGCAAAGTACAAACAAAAGAAACTATTAGAATCCCAAAGACTTGTTCAGTGTAGAAAGCTTATACACATCCGACTAGTGAATGTGTCTTCTTCAGGGTGGGTGCTTTTGAGGATAACAGATCAAAACATGCACGTGTATATATGCAATGTGTATTACTTTTCATATATTTGTCAAAATTTACGTAGATGGCCATCTAGGAAAACTCCTACATGGTGCAGTTGGAAAGAGAGTATTTGATTTTTGCATGTTATCGACATACTTCCTGAGAATATTACAAATAAAAACATGTCATCCGTTCTTCTAAAGAAAGACATCTTTCTTCTCTCTATTGATTTTGGCAAATTTACTGTCTAATTTGAAACCTGAAGTAATAGAGGCAAAATAAACCCTAAAGAAGGACATCTAACTATGGGATTTTCCATTTTCTCTCTAAGAGATGGCACAGTTATTTAAAAAGGAGAACTCCCAGTGTTTCCTCTGGTTTTAAAGGACAACAAAAAATGTAATAGCCTGGAAAAAAGAAATGAGTCCATTTGATCTTAAGTAGAAATGCTTATTTTCATGGGAAACGCCTATCAACCTGATCTTGAAATATACCTGAATGAGCTGAATTCTTGCTCCTTTGGCAGCGCACTCATTCATTTCAGTTTCTTCTATTTTATTTTATTTTATTTTTTGCCTTTGTTCTGTTATGGTCTCGTAAGCTCTCAGAGGATCATAAATCTTTTTGCAAACTGTGATATGCTGATTTGGAGATCCAGATTAAAAGTGTGCAAAATTGGAGTTTCAAAGAGTTGCTATTATTATTATCTATTAACATAACACTGTAATAGTAATAACAAAAACATCAATAATAAAAGCAATTATAAAAGAGTCAGTCTTTCCCAGATTTTTCATTTTGCCTTTAAATAAAAAAAAAAGTGAAAAGAAGGCTTTGTTTCTAAATGCCTATTCCCAATAATGGAATAATGAGATATTAATATAGTAAAAAATTCATGCATTCCTATGCCTGAAGCTATACCATTAGATTCTTTTGGCAGCCTTGAAATGGGGTGGTGTGGGCATTTAGTGGTGTGGGCTAAGCAGGAAGATGTCTTATAAAAATAGTCAGCAGATGGCACTCCAGCCTCTGCTTACTAGTTTTGGACCTGATTTGGTTGCTGTGCTGTTCTTGGACGTTCAGACTAGGTTAGGGACAGGCACTTTGGGCCTGCTTTTGGATAGTTGAAGATACT
The DNA here is from genome assembly GCF_000001405.40 of Homo sapiens. Taxonomy (NCBI): domain Eukaryota; kingdom Metazoa; phylum Chordata; class Mammalia; order Primates; family Hominidae; genus Homo; species Homo sapiens. The sequence continues at coordinate 115,753,197 of NC_000012.12, read as the reverse complement.
GTCAAGAAATATAGAGAAGGAAGAAGGTAATCAAGTCAAGGAGCTGTATTTGGTGGTTGCTGGGCTGGCCGGCTCTTAAGAACCTTTTGCTAAAGCTAGAAAGGAACCATTTATCTTGGTATGGGTGTATTTTGCCCTGCCACACTGGGCGGGAAAAAAACTATTACGTCCTCAGATTATTCAGATTCTTTCAGGGATTCAGGAAAGAAATGAATTCTTTGGTTAGTGGTATAATTACAACACCTTCACATGCCCCGTGGTAATGGAAGACATTAAAAAAGTTTTCCTCAAACCTTTTCCCAAAAATTTCTGCTGAATATAAATCATCACAATAGGAATGCCGGTGGTAGTGGGAGAAAAGGGAGATGATCATGTGTGGTTGTGTGTTTGTGCAGTTGTGTGCATGTGCAGGGCATTGTTAGACATGACATTGTTAGAAATGGGAAGGCAATTGACAGAAGAATATGATGTTGAATGATGAGGATAATGGTTGAAAGCAAAAGTGACATATATTATGAAGGTAGAGTCAAATTATCTGAACTAAAACTGGGGATGCATGAACCAAAATTTTTTCTTGACCACTTCTCAGTGTGAGAGGCAAGGATGGGAATTAGTTCAGAGGCCAAAAGACTTTAAGTTCTGGGACAATGGATGATTATAGAAACACTGCTACAAAGCATCTAAAGTGGGAAGAGTCCTCAAAATCGGGGGGTGTGGGGTGATGGTATTTGGCCACCAAAGTTTGGGGAGAAAAGGGAAAAAGAAGTTTTCATTTTCACAGAGGATTCGAGGTCTTCAAAACACAGCTTCCAAGTGCAGTGAAAACCTCAATGTACTGGAACCTGGCCAATCAGAGCCAAAAAGGCAAATAACCAGGAAACAAGTGGCTATCAGGAATGTATTAACAACAGAAATAACAAAACTTTTTATGATACATCCTGGAGTCTAAGTGAACCAGTTCTTTATCTCTTTTGCATTTTCTGCAGCTCTAATTTTATATAAGACAGAAAAATCTATTTTTGTTTATTCAACATACTATTTTAGAATTACAAAATCTTAGTTAGAAAAGCTGGCGGTAGAATCCAAGCCCTTACTCAAGAAATGAATTCATCCCAGTACAGAAATAATAATTGTGGATCATAGGTCCTTTGTTGGAACCAGAAACTGTGCTTGGTGTTCTACATTTGTCATCTCATTTCATCTTCATCAAAATTCATGAGAGAGGTCTGTTCTCCCACTTTATAGGTGAGGAAACAGTCTCAGAGAGGTTAGGTCATTTGCCCAAGATCACATAGCCTGAAAGATAAAGCTAGAGTTTAAACACCTGGCAGAGTGAGCCTCAAACTAGGACATTTAAGCATGGTTTTCAAGTATACATTCTGAGGCAAGAAAGGGCTCTCTGTTAATGAAGAAAATCCATTGAACCAAAAGTCCCCTTGACCTTTCCTGGAGCAATGTCCCAGGGGAGAGAGATATTTGAGGTATTGAGAAATGGGAAGTGAAAACTTACTGTCCTAAGGAGATGCCATTTGGGTGGAGGCTGAGAGAAGCCAACAATTCTTTTTCTTTTAAGACAGTCTCACTTTGTCACCCAGGCTGGAGTGCAGTGGCGTGATCTCAGGTCATTGCAACCTCTGCCTCCTAGGTTCAAGCAATTCTTCTGCCTCAGCCTCCCCAGTAGCTGGAATTACAGTCATGCACCACCATGCCTGGCTAATTTTTATATTTTTAGTAGAGACAGGGCTTCACCATGTTGGCCAGGCTGGTCTCGAACACCTGACCTTAAGCGATCCGCCTGCCTTGGCCTCCCAAAGTGCTGGGATTACAGGTGTGAGCCACCGTATCAGGCCCAACAATTCTTGTATGGCAGTGAACTTTGCACCACAAGTCTCATAGAACAGAAGGATATCCAAGCCTGCTTAGGCCAGGCATGGTGGTTCATGCCTGTAATCCCAGCACTTTGGGAAATTCAGGCAGGAGAATTGCTTAAGGCCAGGAGTTTGGGACCAACCTGAGCAACACAGTGAGACATCATTGCTACCAAAAAAAAAAAAAAAAAAAAAAAAAAAAAAAATTAGCTGAACAAGGTAGTGTATGCCTGTAGTTCTAGTTACACAAGAGGCTGAGGCAGGAGGATTGACTGACCCCACAATGTTGAGGCTGCAGTGAACTGTTATTGTACCACCACACTCCAGCCTGGGTGACAGAGTGAGACCCCGTCTCTTAAAAAAAAAAAAAAAAAAAAAAAAAGTCCTGCTTACCTGATGAAGTGCCATATGGGATACAATAAGCCAAGGGTAAAATGGAGTTTTCTCAGGCTCAAAATTTGGAGGGAAAAGACTCTTCCAATTTTTCTGGCTCTCTTTCACTTTCCCCCACCATCTCAGTCCTAGTTCTTTGGAAACTGCCACACAGGATTACAATTGGAGGCCTAAGCCAGGGTCAGAGGGCCCTCCTGTCCAAGAATTTCTGCCTTCTTATTTGTTTTTCTTTTGCCTTCTGTCCTCACCCCAACCTTCTCTGTGACTTTGAAGGTTCCTTCCAAGTCTCTTGTCTTGGAAGCCACATTGGTTGGTTAAAGCTCTGAGGCAAAGTTAGCTTGCTTGGAGAACTACGAGCAGACCTGTTTGGCTGGAATTACTTTGTAGGAACAAGTTGATTTCCTTGTTGGAACAATACTTGGAGAGATTGATTCTTCTGTGCACCCTGGGGTTGGGAGTAAGGATTGGACTATGACTGCCTTCATTATAATGTTCAGTACCCTGCAACCCAACCATTCTAAGGAGGAAAATTCAACTTCTTCCTACCTGGACACTTCCTCCTCTACCCTGCTCCCATTTATATATTCACCCTGTTCATGCAACAACTACTCACTGAGGGCTTATTATGTGCCAGACTCTAAGACTCAGCATGTAAAGGATTCAGATCTGGTAGGGGTGATGAAGCAGTGAGTGGGCATTTATAATAGTGCCATCAGTGCTGAGGGACAGGGGTAGGCTGTAATTGCACCAAAAAGGTACTGAATTCAATTCTTCTAGAGGAAGGTGGAGAGAGGGAGCAAAGGAGGCTTCTTGGAGGATGTGACATTTAAGCTGAGACCTGACACTGAGTAGATTTAACCAGGTGAAAGGAATGGGGGGAAAAAAGGATCTTTCAGGTAGAGAGAGGAACACATGCGCAGGCATTGGTGGTAAGGTGGGGAAGCCAAGATGCCGTGCTAAGTCCAACTGTTCATTATCTAGATGGCAATGGAGAGCTATGGAAGGGTTTAGGGTGAGGGTTTGACTCAACCAACTCCAGCTATGGCTCAGTAGATTTGGAGAATTGTGTTTTCATAAGGAACATCATCTTTCCAAAATACCAGTGCCACCTCCATCCATAGCTAATGCTGTCCCAGGCTCTGGGATGCAGAGACTCAAGAGAAAAAAGGTTGCATAGTCTCTTATTCATAGCTGACTTGTAATGATTAAACCAAAGCAAAGCACAAGGGCCAGAATGCCCATCCCAGTAGCTGCAAAAATCAGGAAGAAATAAAACAAACCCAATGAAACAGTATCTTATAGGTTATTCTTGGTTCTGTTTCTGGGAGGGGAAGCCAGATCTCAATGAAAAATGATTCTTGGCAGTTCCCAGTGAGCAGCAGCAAAAGAAACATTTTTAAAGACACAGATTTTTTTTTTCTCTTCCAAAGAGTAGCGTACACCACAAGCATCTTTTTTACAAAGAGAGAACATCTTGCGTGTTGTGACCGATTTCTCGTCCGCATGGCTGTCCTTCCCCAATGGAAGTAATTGGGGGAGAAAGGTCTGTGGAGCACATGCTTTGATGTTTGGGGGATGGGGGGACCTTTTCAGCAAATGTCCATGGCAGACACAGTGATTGAGAAAGGCACATCCGTTTTGGAAAATGCCTGCTAATTAAATGAATGTTTTCAACTGGAAAGCATGTCTGAGCTGTTGAGATACATCCCTGATGAAGGTGGAAGGAATGCTTTAGATGTTGGCCTGAAACGGGTGTTTCCATGAGCTTTCCATATGCCTTGGCCTCGTCAAGTCTCAGATATCACATCTCATTCATTAATTCATTTGCTCATTCAGCAATTGTTTGTGGAGCTCCTCTGTGCTGAACACTGTGGTGGGTGCTGGGTGTTTAGTAATGAACAAGGCAGTCACGCCCTTGCCCTTATGGGAGCTTGTATTCCAGTGGGCAAAACAGATCTTTATAAGAGCTCCAGTTCTTCTAAACACCAAACAGAAATAAAGAAGCAATAAAAACGTGTCTTTCAAGACTGACATACTTGGGTTCCAGTCCAGTCTCCCCTGTTTTTCACCCGTGTGCCCTTAAATAATTGCTTAGCCTTTTTCAGCCTTGGTCTCCCTATCTATAAAATGAGCATAGTATTAATAACTACCTATCTTAGAGGATGAGAGTGAGTATTAAATGATTTAATGTGTGGAAATTGCTTAGTTTCGTGTTTGGTCCACAGCAGCAGCTTGAAACATTCAAGTTATTGTCAAGATTAAGGACATCAATGCATTTTAAAATTATAAATTCATGTTTATTGTTAAAAAAAAATTCGACAAAAAGCACTTTGGGAGGCCAAGGCAGGCGGATCATGAGGTCAAGGGATTGAAACCATCCTGGCCAACATGGTGAAACTCTGTCTCTACTAAAAATACAGAAATTAGCTGGGCATGGTGGTGCGTGCCTGTAGTCCCAGCTACTCTGGAGGCTGAGGCAGGAGAATCGCTTGAACCGGGAGGCGGAGGTTGCAGTGAGCCAAGATCATGCCACTGCACTCCATCCTGGCAACAAAGCGAGACTCCGTCTAAAAAAAAAAAAAAAAAATCGACAAAAATAGAAGCCCCTGAAATAAATGGTAGAGGTTCTCTTATCATACCCAGCCAATTCCAACCTCTGTACTAATGAAGGTTGCAAGTGACTACAACTCCATGGGGCTTCACTATGAAAAAGGAATCTATTGATTTACTAAGCTGAAAAGTCTAGGGTATACCTACCCTCACATACAACTGGGTCCACAGCTTCAAAACAGACCATAAGCCTCTGCTTCTCTTCATCTTTCAGCTCTGCTTCTTCTGCATAGGGTAGTTCTTAGGCAGCCTCTTGCTAGGCGGCCCTGGGAGCCTTCAGACTTACCTATTCCCAGAGGAAAAAGAGCTCTTGGCTCACAGGTCTGGGCAAGGCTCTGGCTTGTGTCAGGTGCCCAACCTGGACCGCTTGAGAGATGCTGTTCTCTTTTGGCCAGGCTTAGGTCACATGTCCATCACTGGAGCTGGAGATAGAGTCAATTCCATCCAAATCACATGGACTGATAGAAGAAGGGGGACTAGGTTTGATTACCTAACGATGGAGTCCTAGGTTGTCAAGACTAATAGACGTGGATTGGTACTACCCAGAGGTTGTTACCTTTGTCAAGCTTTGGTGTGTACACTTTCAAATCTTTTCTTTGTGTGTGTATCTTTCCATATTAGTATCTGCCGTGTGTATGTATATGCACATATATATAGTGTATATATATGTATATTTTTTCCAAAAATGGGGAACTTGTTTTATTCACTTAACAAGTATATAAAATATCATGGTCAGCTCAGTACAGATAAATTATGTTATTATTTTTATTTATTTTTTAGAAAGCTCAGCTTTCTGATCTAAAATTGTGTTATTTTAAATAAGAATTTTAAAACTGAAAGAGTCCTTCAGCTCATTTAGTTCAGGCACCTCCATTTTACAGATGGGGAGACTGAGGCCGCTAGTTGAGAGGGTCTCACTCCAGGTCACACAGTAAACAATTCTTCTCACCCTTCTGACCATTGTCGTCGTCTTCTCTAAACTCATTTCCAATGACCTCAGTGAGCTCGGGGGCAGCTGGGGTCTGTGAGAGATTCTTGCACACAAATTACTGGAAGCACAAGGAGCAAGGAGGGGAAAGGTTTTATTTATTTATTTATTTATTGGCATCTGTGTCTCGCCTTTGCCAACTATTTTTATAAACCAAGAGCTGGATCTGGCTAGTTTTGTGAGGATGGTTAAATATTGAGCAAGAGATTCTTTGATGAGCATGGCACTAAATGATAATTACTGGTAAGCTCCACTTTTAGGAAAAAAGTGTATCTATCTATATCTACCTATCTCCCTCCAAATATACACCTCCAGACTGACTTAATTATAGGGGAGAATGAAGAATCAAGCACACAAAGATCTAGAAACAAAGTCAGCACTTCCTTGAACTAGGAGTTCCTGGCCTGAATCTTATAAATGAAAGTGCTATGCTGTCCAAATACCATTAGCCCTATGTGGCTGTTTAAATTTAGATTAAGTAGAATTACAGCTAATTAAAAATTCAGTTTCTCAGCTCCACTAGCCCCATTTCAAGTAGTCTAGCCACAAATGGGAGTGTGGCTACTGTGTTGAACAGCACAGATATAGAACTTTTCTGTCATGGCAGAAGTTTCTGTTGGATGGTGCTGTCTTAGACCAATGTTTCAGAGACAGCATCAGCTCTCCAGTTGCATCACTATCATCTGGGAAGGGAGTGCTTGGTGAAATGAAGATTTCTGGGCAGCACACCAGGGAAACTACAATAGAAGTTATTAAAAGGTGGGCTTGGAATTTGTATTTTTTAAAAATATGTTCTCTTAGTGACTTAGTTGCACAATTTAAGTTTGAGGGGCACAAAGAAAGACAGAGAAGGATAAAGAGATTGATAGTACCAACATGTAGGCGGAGAATGAATGATAGGATTCACTGCCCATTCATGAGCGATCAGAGTGGCTTATTCAATTGGCCTGCAAGATAATGAGTGAATAGTATTTGAGGTCCAAATACCCAGTTGTTACAGAGGTTTCAAGGACATGCTCATTATGAAAAATTCCTTTAAAGGATTCATGAGGTGGTCTTAGAAGTGATAATGTCATGAAAAGTTGTAAAAGAGGACCAAATCAATGGCTTATGATTTTTCTCTCAAAAGTTTCCGTGCAACCTGTTGCTGTTGTCATTCAGGCTGATCTTTCTTTGTTTATGAAAATGAAAAAAAAAATATTTTTAAATACTCAATCCATAGAATTAGATGTTAAATTTGTTTTTAGTTCCTTTGTCTCATTTATTTTTTCAAATTAAGCATGAAACATTAGCTTATAAAGTGTTGTATATCAACCATTCCTTATATTTTTCCAGCAATATTTTATCCTAAGGATAAGTCATCTTTAGAGTAATGTTATAGTTATCTACTGATCATTTCATCTGTCTCGGGTTAGCTTTTCATGCTTGTCTCACATTGCTCTCCTCCAGCTGTGGACAGCCTCTTTAAGGTAATCCTGACTCTTGGTGTTCACATCTTTGTATAACCTTTTCCTCTTGGGTGTAAGTGGGACCTGTAACTTTCTTCTAGCCAATAGAATATGACAAAGGTGATGGCATATCTCTCCCCTGATGACATTGCATTGTATAAGATACTTCTCGTCAGCAGACTTGCACTAGAGATTTTTCTTTCTGGCTCAATGAAGTAAGCAGACATGGTGGGAAGATCCCAATGTCAAGGAACTTTGAGCAGCTTCTAGGAACTGCAAGTGGCCTCTGAAAGCTTAGGGAAGCCTCCAGCTAACAGCCAGTTTCCATAGCTGGAACTCTCAGTTCTATAGCATTAAGAAAATGAATTTTGGAAGTAATCTGAGTGAGTGTGGGAGTAGATTCTTCCGAAGTCAAGCCTGCAGATGAGAACACAACCTGGTTGAAATCTTGGTTATAACCTCCAGAAACCCAAAGCAGAGGACCTAGCTAGGTCATGCCTAGATACCTGACCTGCAGAAACTGTGAGATAGTAGAAGTATGTTGTTTTAAGCTACTAAGTGTGTGATAATTTATCACTGAGAAATAGAAAACTTAATACAAATGTGTAGTTTTGGATGAGTTGATTAACATTTGGTCTCAGGCTTGCCAGATAAAAATAGGATATAATTGTAAGTAACCTCCTAGGTTTGTTATAAAAATTAAATAAGATAATGTAATTCAGTGCCCAGTGAATGACTCTCAATGTTATTATTTCTTAAAACATTGTCTTTTGGTCCCAGCCCCTCTTTGTTTCAGTCTGTAGGAGAAACTCTGACCTGAGCCTGTATACAGATATTTTGCTCATTCTTAAACAAGTCCTTCTGGTACATATTGTAGGTGTTAACTCCTCAGGGCTGCACTTTAATGCCCCTTCCCTTGTGCTTCCTTCTCAGTGGAACTGCTGGTCATCAACCTTACCATGACCTTCATTTTGTCTCTCTGCCCTCAGCTGTAACATTTATTTCAAATATTGCATTTTTTCTTCTAAAATTTCCTTATGTTTCTTTGATATATTTTATATTTATCTGCTGAGAGATTTAATCTATTTATTCATTATGAGCATACTTTCCTTTAGCTCATTGAGAAAGTTATAATAATCACTTTAGGATCCTCATGTGATATTTACAACATGTGAGATACCTTGAAGTGGGCTTCTTCTGCTTGTCTTTTCTCTTGATAATGGATTACATTTTCCAAGTTTTTTATATATTAAGTAACTTTGGAGTATGTCCTCAACATTGTGACTGATGTGTTTGGAGACTCTGAATTTTGCTGTATTCTTCCAAAGAATGATGAAGTTTTTGTTTTGGCAGGCAGTTGACTTGATTAGACACAGTCTGCAGTGTGTCTCAGTTGAGGACTATGGCAGCTCATTTACCTCCAGCCTTAGCAGGAAACTGCTTTAAGTCTGTTCCATGCAGGTGTGGTTCAGGAATCAGCTGGTGTCTTGGGAAGAAATTATACATAGAATTTGGGACTCCATTTCTCTTGCTTTTCTTTCCTAAGATTCTTCCCTCATTTTCTGGTGGTTGGGCCCCCCTTGGGCTCTACCTTCTGGTTTCATAGGTCAGAAAGAAGGTGAGTTTTCTAGTGGAGATCCAGCCATTTTATGTGAGGATATTTTTTATAGGCCTATATTAAGGTGAAAGCTGCAACAATATGGAACTCATCCTATATCATTCCCTTCTTCCAAGTCTCACCTTCATTCCAATATCTCCCTGCCGTTGCTCATTCTCCAATGCCTCTGGTAGGTTTTTATTTGTTAGTTTGTCCAGAGTTTAGAGTCACTATCTCCACCAGACAGCTTATTCTAATATACTGAAGAAAAACTCCTCAGCTGTGGCCTTCAAAACTCTGGACCTCATGGTCCCTGCCCTGGCTTGTATCCTAATGACTGGGACCCAAATCTGAGATCCAGCCTTCCCATCAGAGGACACTTGGGGCTTGACCCTTGTGTCCTCTAATCCATCCATCCATCCATCCATCCATCCATCCATCCATCCATCCATCCACCGACCCACCCATCCATCTAAACTACATTTATTGAGAGTATGAGCTGCTTCTGACTCTGCTATGAACAGAGACCAGGAATGAATGAGATAGACATTGGATCTGAAAAAAAATTAGCCAGCTGTAGTTGCATACACCTGTGGTCCCAGCTACTTGGGAGTCTGAGGGAGGAGGTTTGCTTGAGCCCGAGAGTTCAAGGCTGTAGTGACCTGTGATCACACCACTGCACTCCAGCCTGGAGGACAGAGTAAGTCCCTGTCTCAAAAAAAAAAAAAAAAAAAAAAAAAGACATGGGTCTTGATTTCGTGGAATTATTGCTCTTCTGGTTTGTCCTGCTAAATACCCATACAGGCATGGGGTTTAGGGAGTGGGAAGAACAGGCTGCTGCTTCCAGCCACCAAAAATGACACTATAGATAAGGATTTATGGACAATGGAAACGTAGTTTATTTCAATATATTGTTAAAGGGAAAAGCAAGTTAGGAAATACTAGGTACAGCAGCAGTAGCATCTCTCTTCATGTGTGCGGACTAGCTAATGATTATTAAGCTATTACCAAGTACCTGCCTGTGGGCTAATTGCTTTACCAGTATCCGCTCATATAGACATCATGACAACCTCACTGGTGTAGAAGGGACCATTATTGTCCTTATTTTAAGGCAGAGAATACCAAGTTGCCAAGAGGAAATAAGTTACTCAAGTTCTGGGTCATGGGCTGGAGGCGCTGAGACTCATATCCAGGCAAGCTACTTCCAGAGTCATTAATGTGCATTGGAGACAAACACAAAATGTCTAAAAGGAGGTATTGTAAGGTGCTAATCATGACCAAGTGGTTATCTTGAGGAGGGTGGATTGAGATCTCTTCAATTTTCTTATTTATATGTGGGAAATTTTCTACAATAATTTCTGTTGCTTTCGTAATAAGAAAGTAATTAATTTTAAGAGAAGCAGAGGTAGGGAGATGAAGACAGAGAAGCAGAAAGAGAGAGACAGAGTGAGAAAAGAGGCAGAGAGAAACAGAAAACAGGGTGAGAGAAACAGAACAAGAGAGAGGGAGGCATAGAGAGAGAGACAGAAAGAGACTTCCTTCCCCAGTGTGGAACATCAAATAGCTCCAAAGATGTAATGAAGTACTCCTTCCCAGCTTCCTGAAAAGTACCTCTCCTCTGAAACTTAGACTTTATTATTATTCAAAGGAAAATAAAATGTAAGTCCTTGGAATGATCACTGAATGGCACCATGGAGAGCTGTGCTTTCCAGTATGGTAGCTGCTCACCATCTTGGCTATTAACTATCAGCATGACATGTGCTGTAAGTGTGAAGTACCTACTGGATGTCGAGGACTTAGTATGAAGAAAAAGGATGTAAAATATCTCATTAATAATTTTACATTGATTACATGGAAAAATGCTAGTGTTTAGGGTATATGGGGTTAAGTAAAATACTATCAAAATGAATGTCACTTTTGTTGTTGTTGATGTTGTTGTTGAGACGGGGTCTCATTCTGTTGCCCAGGCTGGAGTGCAGTGGTGCCATCTAAGATCACTGCAACTTCCACCTCCCAGGCTCAAGCAATCCTCCTGTCTCAGCCTCCCAAGTAGCTGGGACTACAGGAGCATGCCACCACACCTGGTTAATTTTTGTATTTTTTTTTATAGAGATGGGGTTTCGCCATGATGCTTAGGCTGGTCTTGAACTCCTGGGCTCAAGAAATCTACCTGCTTCAGCCTCCCAAAGTGCTGGGATTACAGGTGTGAGCCACTACGCCTGGCCCTAATGTCACTTTTTGTTTGTTTGTTTTTTACTCTTTCAATGTGGGTATTAAAACATTTTATATTATTATTATTATTATTATTATTATTATTATTATTATTATTATAACTAATTACTTGAGATGGGCTCTTGCTCTGTCAGCCAGGCTGGAGTGCATCCTCCCTCACTGCAGCCTCAACTACTAGGGCTCAAGTGATCCTCCTGCCTCAGCCCTTCGAGTAGGTAGGACCGCAGGCACACATCGCCATGCCCAGCTAATTTGTTTTTTAAATTATTTGTAGAGATGAGGTCTTGCTATGTTTCTCAGGCTGGTCTTGAACTCCTGGCCTCAATTGATTTTCCTGCCTTGGCTTCCCAAAGTGCTGGGATTACAGGTATGAGCCACCATGCTTGGCCTTAGAAAATTTTAAATTACAAATGTGTCTGGTGTTATATTTCTATTGGACAGCACTCATCTGCATCCCCACGCTTTCCCAACCTCATGACCTCAGCTGAACATTTATGCATCAAAAGACGAAAAAGACAGACAGAAACTCCAGCAATGAGTGCCCCTCCTCTGCCTCTGGAGAGAAGCCTCAGCTCACCCCTGCCACCTCGCCATGCCTTCCTTTGCTGGAGGGGCCCCATCTGTGGCTGGTGTCTCATGTGGTGCCATCTCCGTTAGCACATTAAGTGGCAGCAGCTACAAAGCCCCTCGGAGCCCACTCTCCATGACGCCCAGCCAGGGGCCTTGGGCTCCGATGCACCCAGGGATGGGCTGCCTTTTCTTGGAAGTGCCACTGTTGCCTTTCGGAACAGACACTTACCAGGTGATTCTTTGCGGCTCTGCATTCATAAGAGCTTCTTTAGAAAGCAGAAAATGCTTCAAGCGAGTTTGGAGAGATGTGTGTTTACCAGAACAAATAATTTGCTCTCTGTCAGTCCTTGATTATATCTGACTGCTCTTTTCTCTCTGAATTGAATTCAGGGGGAAAGAAACCAGTTCATTTAAAGCTTAAAAATAATTTCACATTAGCCTTTTTCTTCGCCCAAACAAGACTGTTTGTGTCTGTCTCAAAGCCCGGCTCTTCCGCTTGTGCGCACCTCTTTTCCCTGGTTTGTATTTCAGAGGCAACTTGCTTCCCTTTGGCCTTTGTTCTGCTCTGGTTTCTGTAAATCAGTTTACCTTGGCAATCATAACATTCTATAACATTGGGGAAGTGTTTTCATATAACTCCAGCTTCCTTGACGTGTATAAAATCTTTATGGTTTATCTTTATGGATGGGTGGGGGAAATGAGACTCATATCCAGTCAACATTTGGTGAGTGTTTACCACGTGCTCGATGCTGGGTAATGACCTCATGTGAGTACTTCTCACAGCTTCGTCAAGTAAGTACCACCCCCATTTTACAGATGGAGAAACTGAAGCTCAGAGCAGTGAAGTGACTCCCCCCGGGTCTCACAACTAGCTAGTGATGTAGTACAGGTTTTCATCAAGGTCTCTTGACTCCGAAGTCATATTAATCTGGCAAATGAGGAAACTGAGGCACAAAGCGATTCAAAGGGCTGCAGCTGTTTGTAATCTTTTAGGAGCAAGTGTCAGCCAGATTACAGGAAACTGGGCTTGGGGGTGTGCTTGTTTCTGTGTTTTCAGTATCTTGGGCTTTATATTAAAAACTCAGGTAAACATTGCATTCTGCTCCACAGTACAGCCATGTTTATATGGCATAAAATCATTATATTTTCTTTTTTTATAAGAAAAAATTTTATTCTTGACAGATAAAAATTGTATATATTTATGGTGTCCAATGTGGCATTTTAATATATGTGTGCATTGTGAAATAATTACAACCAAGCTTATTAACATGTCCATCACCTCATAGTCACCAATTTTGTGTGTGTGGTGAAAACACTTAAGATCTATTTTCTTAGCAAATTTTAAGTACACAATACATTATTACTAACTATGGTCATCATGCCGTACATTGGATCTTCAGAGCATATTCATGTTATAGCCAAAAGTTTGTACCCTTTGACCAACATCTCCCCGTTTTCCCCGTTCCTCGGCCCATAGTAAGCATGCTTCTACCTTCTGTTTCAATAAGTCCAACTTTTTTGTACATTCCACATATAAGTGAGGTCACGTAATGTTTGTCTTTCTGTGTCTGGCTTATTTCACTTAGCAGAGTGTCCTCAAGTTTCATCCATGTTGTCACAAATGGCAGGATTTTCTTCTTTTTAAAGGCTGAATAATAATGAAATGGAATAGCTATCTATCATCTACTTATCTATTATCTATTACCATTTCTTTATCCATTTGTCCATTGATGGACACTTAGGTTGCTTCCATAATTATATTTTCCAAATCCTCAAATAAGTGGATATTCTAGGACACTTTTTACTTAGAGTGGACCAGCAGCATCAGCACCACCTGGGAACTTGTTAGACACATAGAGTCCCAGATTTTTGTGCTTTTGTTTTTTTTTTGAGATGGAGTCTCGGTCTGTCACCAGGCTGGAGTGCAGCGGCACGATCTCGGCTCACTGCAAGCTCCGCCTCCCGGGTTCACGCCATTCTCCTGCCTCAGCCTCCTGAGTAGCTGGGACTACAGGCACCCGCCACCATGCCTGGCTAATTTTTTGTAATTTTTTTAGTACAGACAGGGTTTCACCGTGTTAGCCAGGATGGTCTCGATCTCCTGACCTCGTGATCCTCCCACCTGGGCCTCCCAAAGTGCTGGGATTACAGGCATGAGCCACTGCGCCCAGCCAGAGTCCCGGATTCTTAACACAGTCCTTAGTTGATTCACGTGCATATTAAAGTTTGAGTAGCACTGCTCTAAGATTACCTAACTAAATAATTAAATGTGCATTGAGCATCTGCCACGTGCCAGGCATTGTTCTGTGCACTGTGTTTACTGCAGGGAACAGAAGAGACAAAGCCCTTGCCCTCATACACGTCCAGACAAGTAGTAAAAACAGATGTTGAGTAAGTATTTACAGGGGAAGGAGAGGTGCAAGGATTCTTGGGGACACGTGTGTCTGGGAAAGCAGGGGAGGTCAGGTAGTTTCCCTGAAGCAAATGAAATTTCACTGGAGGCCAGATAGATGGGTACAATATAGGGTGCAAGGAGTCAGAAAAATGGGTGCTAGTGCTCTGGGCAGAGGAAATAGTAAGTACCAAGGCTTCAGGAGGGGAAGTGGCTTATCAGTGCAAAACTGCTTCTTTCATTCACGTTCACTCATTCATTCAATCAACAAACCTAGATAAGATGCTTATTGTATTTGTAGTCAGCAATTTGCTTAATGATGGGGAAGTGCAGATGATGGTGAAGGAGAGGATGACAGTAATGAACACTTAAATAGCCAGACGTTATTCTAAGCTCTTTAAATATATTAAGTAACTCATTTCATCATCATTAACAGCTCTGTGAGACAAAATCTGTTTCCCATTTTACAGATAAGGAAACTGAAGCAAGGAAAGGTTAATTAACTAACCCAGGATGATGCAGCGGAGCCTAGATTCAAACCCACAATGCCTGGCTCTGGAGTTCCTGGTCATCATTATTCTGATTTGGTAGGACAGACATCTGCCTTCCAAAACCCCATCCACTGCCACCCTAAGCAGACTTTTCCTTAGAAGCTTTTCCATCCATCGCAAATAAACATCCTGTTCTGAGCTTCTAACATCCAATTGTTCTCTTCACAGATTTACTGAGGCCCCAGAAGGCACAACTCTCTAAGCTGCCTTACCCTCAGTGTCTCCTCACAACTCTGCTTCCCACCTGGATGTCCCTTGCCTGAGGAGCTGAGGTCTCTCTCCATCTCTGGTCCCTGTGACTTAATGTTCACTCTCACAGCATATGTTTCTCTCTCAAAGTATCCTCTTCTTTTTCCTATCTCCTGACACCACATCTTTTTAAATACCCTTACACACAAATGCACATACACACACAGTGACACATACACACAGACACATGCACATTCCCACATCTGTTCACAGCCTCAGATTTATTTGCACACATGCACTCACACTCACTCATATGCACACCATCCATCTACCCCATGTCACATTTACATACATACCACATCGATTCACACACACACTCAAACATACACGCAAGCACACACTCAAATCCTATACATTTTCATTCACACACTCAAACATACACACACACAAATACCTCCCCCCACACACACACAAACTCACACACATTGACACACACACACACACACACACACTGGTTCATTCTCTATCACAGACACACATCACAGCCTTACTGGCTGCCATCACCAAAGATCTTTGAAGTGATGTCAGAGAGGAAAAGTTCAAATGAAAATCAGATCTGGTAATTATAGGATTTTTCTACATGCTCTTTTTTTTTTTTTTTCAGTCTGGACTTGAAAACAGAAGAGGCCCAGGAGATGAGAGTGTTTTCTAGGGCTTGGGAAGTAAAGCAAAACCACATTTAAGGACGTGATGAAAACTCTCTATGTTGCTCTTAAAACCCACTTCGTGGAGGAGAAGAGAACTGGTGACAGAATTTTGTTGTCAACAGTTAGGTTTGCCTTTTACATCTTTGTGCAGTGACTTTTTGTGGGCTTTTCAAGGACACGGCCAAGGCCTTTCTCTTTTAAGACCCCATTTCTATCTAGAATAAGACTCTGAATACCATTCAGATCAACTCACTTTAGCAAACATTTATTGTGTGCCTAATATGTACAAAGCATTGGACAAGCCTCATGGGGTGCAATGATAACTAAGGAGTGATCAGGGAGATGGGGGAAAGAGGTAAGTATTAGCTAGGCTATATTTGTTGCAGGGGACAGAGAGCTAAATACAAATGGCTTAAGTAGAGGGAAACTTTGGGCTTATATAATGGAAACACCCAAAGGTATCTGGCTTCAGGCACCGTAGAATCCAGGGGCTCAGACATTTATCACATAACCACACTAAGTATCTGACGTGATCAGATAGAGCACTTGAGTGGTGGGGTGGAGACTAGACTGGAACATGAATGGAAGCTGGAAGGCCAGTTTTGGGGAAAGGACATTGCAATAGTCCAGGCATAGGAGCGTGGTAGCTTGGATTAAGTGGATGAGGGGGAAGTGAGTGGATGTCAGAAATGAAGTAGATGGCAAAGACTTGGGATAGAGCATGTGAGGGCTAAGGAAGAGGGAGATGTCAAGAATAATTCTTAGGTTTCTGACTTTGACATCTGGATAACTGGCTGAGTTGGGATACCTTATCCAAGAAGGTGGGTATAAAAAAATCTAACTTAAGAGAGGTGGTCCCAAGTGAGTGCTGTTTGTATGGAGTTCTTTCTTTATCCCTTCAGGTTGGGTTTAAGCGGATTCTAATGGTAGGGGATGGAGAAAGCGGAGCCATTTCCCTTTTTAATTTTAGGCCCATGTGATTATGCTGCTGCCAATTCGCCAATGCTGCAAAGATCAAATGGGCAAATTTAGGGAACATCAGCTGCACAACTACTTGGCATCTGCACTTAGGTACATTTCTTTATCTCTCTGAACTTTAAACTCCTAGTTTTAGAAAATGTAGATAACATGTGCCATCTAGTGAAGATTAAAGGTAATATATACATAGATATTTATATGTCCCTAGCACAGAGCCTGGGACAAAGTAGGAACATAATTAACAGCTGACTGGGGGAGCTAAACTGGAGTTGACCAGATCCCATGGCTGCAGTCATTAGGGCCTTTGTAGACCACTCACTTCTTGGAAGAGAGGCAGAACAAAGAGTGTGGACCAAGCAAGGGTGGTTTATAAGTGGGGAGGCAGAGCATAAGAAAATCTTTACTATATGGCAGGACTCTTAACTTTCGATGTATGATGAACCCCTTTTGTAGTTTGGAGAAACTATTTCTAAATGCATAGCATATACATAGAATTACAAAGGATATCAATTATACGATCATGTGCTGCATAAAGACCTTCAGTCAACAATGGACCAAATATACTGTGGAGGTCATCTAATAAGCTAAGGTTAATTTATTATTTAAGAAAGGAGAAATTTAAAAATAAATTTAGCATAGCCTAAGTGTACTGTGTTTATAAGGTCTGCAGTAGAGCACGGTAATATCCTAGGCCTTCACATTCACTCACCACTCACTCACTGACTCACCCAGAGCAACTTCCAGTCCTGCAAGCTCCATTCATGGTAAGCGCCCTATACAGGTATATAAGTTTATATCTCAAAAAAATTTTTTTTATTTTACTTTAAGTTCTGGGGTACATGTGCAGAACGTGCAGTTTTGTTACATAGGTATACACGTGCCATGGTGGTTTGCTGCACCCATCAACCCATCACTACATGAGGTATTTCTCCTAATGCTATCCCTCCCCTAGCCTCCCACCCGCTGACAGGCCCTGGTGTGTGATGTTCCCCTCCCTGTGTCCATGTGTTCTCATTGTTCAACTCCCACTTATGAGTGAGAACATTCAGTGTTTGATTTTCTGTTCTTGTGACAGTTTGCTGAGAATGATGGTTTCCAGCTTCATCCATGTCCTGCAAAGGACATGAACTCATCCTTTTTTATGGCTGCATAGTATTCCATGGTGTATATATGCCACATTTTCTTTGTCCAGTCTAGAACTAGAAATACCATTTGACCCAGCAATCCCATTACTGGGTATATACCCAAAGGATTATAAATCATACGTCTTTTATACTGTAATTTTATTACAGTATAAAATTCCTTTTATTTATTCCTTTTATACTGTAATTTTATTACAGTATAAAAATTCCTTTTCTATGTTTAGATATACAAATACTTCCCTTTTGTGTTACAATTGCCTATAGTATTCAGTACAGTAACATGCTGTACAGGTTTGTAGCCTAGGAGCAATAGGCTATACTCTACAGCCTAGGTGTGTAGTAGGCTGTCCCGTCTAGGTTTGTGTCAGCGTACTCTGTGATGTTTGCACAATGTCACAACTGCCTAGATACATTTTTCAGAACAGATCCCCATCATTAAGCAATGCATGACTATATTTAAATGCTGTAGTAAGATTAAAGAAACCACAATGCCACAACTATAAGTTATAAAAATATGTGTTTTTAAGTTAATTCATCAAGTAACTAGGTCTAGTCTAATTCATCTGATGATTAGGATAACTCAAAATGGTGATGAGCGCACATGTTATTTTGAGGTTTCTCTGACAATTGAAATGCAACATAAAAATATTTATGGTTTCTACGGATGGCAAATTCACAGGGACCATTAATACCATTGTGATTTGCTATCTACCTTCATTATTGATGGAAATGCTAATTTTGGTTAGAGGTTAAGAAAAATAAAGATATAGTTTTTTTGTTTTTTGTTTTTTTGTTTTTTTTTGGTTTTTTTTTGGATAAAAAAAATCACAGAGCCATTGAGTTTCAACCCTGGCCTCTTGTGGTTTTGCAGATCTCAGGTTAAAAACACTTGCTGGAGGGTGAGGGGAGGGCACCTGTCAAAACACTTATCAAAAGTAATTTTGTGACTGTTAGAAAAGCCTTGGAACCATCAAACTCCCATGAAATCAACTGTATAAGGGGAATACCAATATCATACCTTTTTTTCCCCTGTGGCAGCACAACAAATTTTAAATTCAAAGAGGGCAAAAACTATGAATGCCTTTGTCTAACTCATAAGGGAGGTAACATTTAAACCCTGCCATCTGATGGAGCCACCTTCCATATCTAGGAAGTTTGAGTTCCTTTTTCACCTACATCTTTTCATTATCTAAGGCTACAGGAGTTAAATTAGACAAGGTAGGATGTTAACAGAAAGGAAATTTGGAAAGAGAGATGGGAACTTTACTGCAGGGCGGAAGGGACAAAGCTATCAGCTGCTGGAGATTTTAATAAGGAATGTTATGGATCTGAGACAAAAAATTGTATGAGATAGAGTATGTGGAATGGCATTCTCAAAATCACACCTTCAAGGGCCAGCCAGGTGACAAAGCAGTGAGGCTGACTTGGCCTAATGCAATAGGGATGATTGTGACTCAGGAACAGGAACAGGATGGCCCTTATAAATAAATAGAAATTTCTATTTCTTTTTACTTATGGACTACAGGCTATTGGCATGCCATCTGGAAAGCCTGTCCAAATGGATCCTTACTTGGTTGAAGAGAAGTGGCTTGGTGGAGTCAGCTGGTAAAACAGCTCGGGGTTGAGGGAGTGAACACTTGAATTTGAACCCTCTAGACCTGTGTGGTCCAATATGGTAGCCACTAGCCACACATGGCTACTTAATACAATTTAAAAGTCAGTTCCTCCATTGCTCCAGCCACATTTCCAGCATGCAATATCTCTATGTGGCTAGTGGCTACCATATTGGATAGTGCAGACATAGATGTTTCCATGACCTCAGAGAGTTCCATTTGACAGTGTTGCAGACTCTGATTCTTAGGGACTCCAACCTGGCTGTTATTTCCAGGAAGGAATTCAGAAAGTTTTTCTCACTGGGATTCTGCCCCACACAAGATGCTTCTCAAAGTTTGTGCTCGTCACAGGAAGATCTTGTAGCTTGAGGGTCTCGCCAGTCCCTGGCTATGGGTCTTGCTTGTTATAAGGAAGAAGTGTGGTGACAGTCAGATAGCAGCATAGACTTGTCCATAAAAACACTTTGCAGTGGTAATCCTTGTCTAAGAAACAGGGAAGTTAAAAGCTTTGGAACCACACAAAGAAAATTTTGCATCCTGTCTGTGTAACTTTGGTCAAGGTACTTAAACTGGGAAGCCTCAGTTTTCTTACCAGTAAACTGAGGATATGAATTTCTGCTTTTCAAGGCTGTTGTGTAGTGTTTGTAAGGTAATGCATGTGAGGCATTTTGCCTAATGCCTGGCATTTAGTAAATGCTCAATCAAGAAAAGCAATTATTCTTAGAAGGCAGTGGGCTTCATTTTAGTTTTTATGACAGAGGGAGTTGGGAAGACTTAAAGTTGGAGAAGGTTCTTCAGAAGATCTTTCTTGAAGGGAAGTCCATCTGTTCCATTGTGTTTGTTCTAGAGTAAAGACAAAGTTTGCTTAATAATGGCCACACATTTTTTTTCTCACATGCCTTCCATGGAGAGGTGAGGTCTATGTCTCTGCCCCTTGAATCTGGGTGGGCTCTGTGACTGCTTGACCAATAAAATATGGAGGAAGTGACATTCGGTTTGGGAGTTAAAGGCTAGAAGATTACACTTCCTGCTCACTCTCGAAACCCTGAGCAGCTATGTAAGTCAGACTACTGTGCTGAAGATTCCGCATGGAGAGGCTCTGAGACCACATGGAATAGGAGGTGGCCCAGCTGAGCCCAGCCTTCTAGAAGTTACCACTGAAGCCATTTGGAACCCCCTGAACTTTCAGCCATTGGCTAAATACAACTGAGTGGCCCTTAGTAAACCACATATTGAGAATTGTCCAGCTGAGCTCTGTCCAAATCCCTGACCCAGAAAATAGTGAGAAATGAAAATCATGTTTCAAGCCATGAAGTCTTGGGGTAGTGTGTTGTGCAGCAATAGATAATCAGAACAGATGGCAAAATGTTTCTTCTTGAGTCCCAGCCATGACTGACTTTGGTGACTGCCTGGGTTATAGTGTTGAGGATGATTTTCAAGCTGTATCTGGTCTTAGTAGGGAACTGTTCTGATTGGCTAGTAATGTCTGCCTTGGGTGTGTGCGATTAGAGGGTGGCAGTAAGAATGCTGCCTCTCCTAGATATAGCTCAGGATAAAATCAGTTCTAACAGTTATTGGTTCCGTTATTTTTCCCACCAAAAATTGTGGTAACCTTTCTGAGTGTTTGGGAATAAATCTAAGAAACTGCTCTGGGATGTCTCCCTCTATGTGCTTCTATAGTGCTGTGGAGTGTCAGCACCATTGATCGAAACTGATTGGTTTTGGTTTCTAGAATCCTTGATTTTGAGATGTTCTGGGGGACAAGATAGGTTGTATTGTGAACAGCATTGTTTTGTAATTCAGAAGACATGAATCCCAGCTTTGACCCTACTCACTTGTTACCTTGGACACATTAAGTATCCTGTTGAGTCTGTTTTCTCCCTTATAAAATTGGGTTAATAAATTTTTACCAATTCACCTTACATGATAATTGTGTGGATCAAACCAGATAGTATATGGCAAAACCCTACATTAGGAAGCATTTTTGCTTTATTTTCTCAGGTAACCCGCAAGTATCATAAGTAGGGATTATTATTTTCATTGTATAGATGAGAAAAATTGAGCTAAGAGGAGTATTAGTGGCAGTAGCAATAGTAGCATTGGGAGGCATTTTTGGTGAACCGTTAGGAGCAAACAGTCTGGAACTGGAATACCTGGATTCAAGTCCCAGCACAACCCTTTACTAGCTGGGTGATGTTGAACAAGTGACTAACCTTCCTTGTCCCTCTCTTGTTCCTCATCCTTAAAGTTGTCATAGGATTAAAGGAGACGGTACATGCAAAACCTTTAATCTCTTATTTGGTACTTAGTAGACACTCAATAAAGATGAGCTTTCATCACTACTGTTGTGCACACCTTCCTCCCAGATAGTGTGATGTGGCGATAGCAGAAGTCATGAGGGCTATTCAATATTTTCTGACTTTGTTCTGCAAAGAATTGGATTTTCATGCAGTTTGGAATGAGGAGGGGCCATGGCCAGGTGACTTACTTTGGCACTAAATGTGAGTAGAAGTGATGTGTCACTTCTGGGTGGAAGTTTTAAGAGCTAGCATGCAATTAACAGCATTCTGTCTTTCTACCATAGTAATAAGGAAGTTTCTAAATGTTGGCTGCTCTGTTAGCCTTGTACCAGAGTGAGGACATGGTGGGCAGACCCCTAGATGATGTGTAAAAGAAACGTAGTGCAAATGAGAAATTGAGCTCTGCTGTTTTAAGGGCCTAAGACTGGGGGTTGTTTGTTACTGCAGTAAAACTCAACTTATCCTGACTGATGCAGTGATGAGGCACTACAAACTGGACCATAGGAATCTTCATTTTTCAAATAAATGTTTTGGGGAGTCACACTTTCATAACATTTTACAATGATTCCATTGTACAGATTCAAGTAAACGTGAGGGGAAAGAAAGAAAACTTCGTTAGCTTTTGGGGAGATGTTCTACTCAGTTTTTTAAATACCCTGAAATGGATTCTTACCAAAATGGGCTTGATGGAGAGTGGGCAACTTTTATATGTAATAAAAACAGAAGCTGATGTCATTGTACATGTGAAAAGGAAATCTACAAAAACCACAGAGTGTTTTAAGAGGTTAAAGGTAAAAGAAAATTGACTTATTATGTCTCAGTTAAATAAACAAAGGCTTCTTGAACCAGAAAATCAGAATGGGAGAGTTTCTGGTTACCTTCCAACTTCTCAGAGATGTATTTGAAATATGGCATTAGTTGTATCTGGAGGTTTTGTTTTTGTTGTTGTCACCCTCCTAAACAGAGCATATAAGGGCAGAGAATTGCCCTTACATGTTCTGGGAGTTTTAGATGTTTCAGAAAATTAAAATAAAGCCCAGGTTTCCAGAAGGGGTTGTGGCCAGATCTTGGGAAAGTAGGGGTTTAACCTCGATCACAATCTATGAAATCAAAATCTGTGAGGTCCCCTGTGCCCCAATTTCAGAACTGTATTTAATGCTTTGGAAATATTACTATGAACCCTGGAAATGATGTTTTGGGGATGAGACACTCCCAAGCCTCTTTCTTGACAGTAGGTATTTTGGGGTGTGTGGTTAACATAAAAATTAATTGCCAGGTTCTTGTGGCTCTGTTGTTATCTGGGGAAGGAGTGGGGCAGCATTCACAGTCCCAACAGGCATTCACATGGGCTTGTCTGTGGTTTGCATGCTATGATGTAAGTGGGGATAGTATTTGCTGGAGCCTACATGTGCACAGCCGTGGCCTAAGTGACAATAATGGTAAAGAGCACAGCCTTGGCAGCAGACAGACCTCAGTTTGTATCTTTAGTTCCACCGTGGTCAATTTACATTACCTCTCGAAGGTTCATTTTACTCATCTGTCAAATGGGCATGCTACTCCTACTCAGGGTTGTTATGAGGATAAACTGAGATAAAAATGTAAAGTAAGGCTTACCCTAGCACATACTATATGCTCAATAAATCTGAGTGATGATGAGGATGAGAATGATAACAGTGTCACAGGATGATGACCTGTGATGAGATTGGGCCAGATCTAAATCTTCAGTGACATAATTTCTGCCTGTGAAACACTATATTCAAGAATACAATTGAGATGGCCTAATGACCATTGGGAGGATGTCAGGGTTGTGCCAGCGATATCTGGGATTTTATTAGCTAATCCAGCATCCATGGTGAAGGCCAGGTGCTTGCTTCCAACTTGAGCTTTAACCCAACAGTGAGTATATAAATCATCTGTTTCTTCCTTTTAAAGCATTGCTTTGATACCTGATGACCAACTCTCTGAAAAGAAGGTCAGTCCAGAAGCTGTTGTGAATGATCAGGAACCAAATTTCATATGGCTGCCTTCTAGTTATTCTAATTTTATTTAGAGCCGCCTCTGTTCAAGAACTCACAATCACTCCTTCTTGTCTGTTAAATCAAGTAAATCAAGTCTGAACTCCATATCACAGAAAATAATTCTGTGTTCTTTACCCTAAGATAGTTCTTCAGCCTTCTTCCTTACTCATCCTTTAATGTATCTTATACTCCGCAATCTTATGATGGCAAATACGTGGCACTTGGGCTCTCAGGTTCCCATCCCATGTCCATGGCAGACATCAACAAGCAATCTCAGAACTCTTCTTCCAGACTCCTCAGTAGCTCACCATTGTCTTTAACACAGTACTCCAGGCAGCCACTCTCAATGATGGGGCTTGGCATGTAAAACAAAGCTGATTTACCAATCCTAACCTAGGCAGATTGGTCTTCTTTCTTGAACATTCTAGGTTTTTACCATGTTTAGATGCCTTTGAGTATTGGCCATTTTGCCCAGGATTCCCTTGTCTCTGTATAACTAAGCCCCATTCATTCTTCAAGACTTTTAGTATAGCTCATCAAGTTTCTACAAAGTAGCCACAGAATTATAAAATCACAAAATGTTTCTGGAGTTAATTTGAAATCCTGTATGATAGCTTTTCCTGATGGCTCAAACTTGGTTAACTGCTCTTTGTCCTGATCTCATATAGTATATATTACCTGAGTATAATTATATCCAATATATTTTTTAGCCTATGGTTAATAAAGGTTTACATATCCTGTCTCTACAACTAGATTCTTGAGCGTAGGAGCCACATCGTTTTTTAGAGCAGGGAGATCTGAGTTCAAATCCTGTTTTTGTCATTTCCTATGAAAGTGACCTTAACGTCACTGAATGTTAGCTTCCTTATATGTGAAATGAAGGCTCCAATAAAACCTACCTCTTGGAGTCTGTTGTGTCTGTTCAATGCATATAAATCCCTTAGTCCCTTTTATGTTAAATAGTAAGGGAAAAAATATAAGTTGCATTCTGTGTAGAACACAGTGAGGTGCAGAGCCTTGAAACCGAATTCCCAATTTCAAACCAGTTTTGGCCTTTTATTTGCTTGAGGAAGTCACTTCTGAGTTTTATCTTGCTTATCTATAAAATGAGCTTTGTGGCATTAGTCTTTGGTTGGCTCCCGCTTGGATTTGCAATGTAAATGCAATCATGTAGTTGAAAGCAGAGGTGATACTAAAAATATTTAGCAATCTAGATGGAATGGGGATGAACCTGTTGGAACAGATGTCAGCAGATGTTGGCTATACCAACTAAAATGGCCACTTTGAATAGTCACCCTTGGTAAGGGCATTCTAGAATGTGTGAAGCACTGCTCAGATGGGAACAATCCCTGCTGTCATTTATCCATGGGTAAATTGAAGATAGGATAATTTCCCAAATGATATCTCATAATATTATAGGCACCTGAAATAAGGCTGGCTCAAGAAGGTCTCTCAGTTGAAAACTACAGAATTCCAATGCAACAGGATTAAATGAAAATAAATTTATAGGCTCAAGTTACTGAAAAAAGACAGCTGTAGATTTAAATTTAGGTATGGCTTCATACAAGGGCTGAAATTGTACATTCAGGACTTCATTTTATCCTGTTGCCTCTTGGGTCCTACTTTTCCCTGTATGGGCTCTATTATCTGGAGGTTTTCCCTTTGTAATAATATGAAAAGATGATACTAACCATTCCAGTTTTGTGTGCTATTCTCCTAGCCTGAAGTAAAACAGAAAAGAACTCCTTCCCCCACCCCCTCCCCTGGTAGTTCCAACAAAAGACTTGGAATTAAGCCTCTCACTTCTCTGATTGGCCGTCAGTTGTCATGTGCTCATCTTTGGACCAATTGCTAATGGAATGCTCTGATTGGCAGGGTCTGCTTCATATGTATATTGGTGGGAAAGGTTCATGCCAACTGACAGGTAAAATGGATCCTAGCCAGACTGAAAAAACAGCTTTCTACAGCCATGGCTTACTGCAAAAGCACCAGAGAATTGCAAGATGGCACGGTCCCTATCCAGGCTTGTTCACTCCCAATTTGTCATAAATACATGGCTCTCAGATTAAAACAAAGGCTATTGTGTCTGAATTCTTTTCTCTAAGAAGCCAGCTAGTCTGTGAGGCTCTGCTTCCACTCATTAATACATGAGAACACTGATCTGTCATCCCACTTCCTTCTCGCACACAGAGGATGGCGTGGGAGAAGAGGCTTTAGGGTAGGGTGTTGGTGGGATATGTTGGCTGATGTCACATAGGTTTGGCAGGCTCTCTACAACGGCATTTGCAAAGTCTTGGAATCATGAAGGAAAGGAGAAACCACAGCGTGACCATCCAGACATTTCTTTCTTTCTCCTTATTTTTCCTCAAAGCCCTAGTACTTCCAGGGGAATTTAATCCTTATGTTTCTGTTTAATTTTCAGTCTACTTAGGTCACCAAAATGGAGGCTATAAAGAACCATTTGATGTCCAGGAAGAATTATGAGCTTGTATATAAGCCTCTTAACATGTGTGTGTATGCTCGTGCGTGTGTGTGTATGCTCGTGCGTGTGTGTATGAGTGAATGTGTGTATGCATGTGAGTACTTAAGCTTTACTCCTTCAAAGCTGTGCATTCCACTGGATTTGAACTCATCGGAATGTAAGGTTCAAAGCTCACAGAAAAATCTTCTGAGACCTCTACTTCCTTTTTCACAATCATGCATGTAATAATGGAAGCATAATGCATACTTCCTCATACCCATACAATCAAGGGTGTAGATGTTGCTTTAAATGACAAGTTTTAGATCAAGTTCTGTAAACTCACTGCCTCTATTTTCTTACCTCCCAATCTTAATCCCCTCCAGTCTGGCTTACATCTCCATCTGGCCACTCAAACCTGTCTCCAGACAGTGCTTGAAGATCTCCATGATGCTGCTGAATCCAGTGGGGATGTTGGAGTACTCACTGTACTTGACTATCCAATGCGTATTTTCACTGCTCGTTATGTCATTTCTTAGCAGCATTTGACAGAATTTGAGTACTCTCCTCTCTTGACATGCTTCCTCACTTCGTGTATTACTCCGTTCTCACATTGCTGTAAAGAAATACCTGAGACTGGGTAGTTAAACAGAAAAGAGATTTAATTGGCTCTGCAGGCTATACAGGAAACATAGTGGCTTCTGGGGAGACCTCAGGAAACTTTCCATCATGGTGGAAGGCAAAGGAGAAGCAGGCATGACTTATATGGCTGGAGGAGGAAGAAGAGAGAGAGAGGGAGGTGCTACACACTTTTAAACAACCAGATCTTATGAGAACTCTATCATGAGAACAGCAGCAAAGGGAGAAATCTGACCCCATGATCCAATGACCTCTCAGCAGTCTCCACCTCCAGGATTAGGGATTACATTTTAACATGAGATTTGGGAGGGGACACAGATCCAAACTATATCACTTGACTTGAGTAACTTCATTATCTCCTATTAATCTCCCATTTTACCCTTATCCTACCTCTCTGTCTGTTTCTTCTCTATCTCTTTGCCTTATCCTCCTCCTTATGTGTGGTCCTGAAAAAAGGAAAAACAGTCATTAAATACATTCAACAGCTGTGAAATAACAGATTGAGCATCCCTAGTTTGAAAACCCAAAATCTGAAATGCTCCAAAATGCAAAGCTTTTTGAGTGGTGACATGATGCTCAAAAGAAATGCTCACTGGAACATCTTGGGTTTTGGAGTTTTGGATTAAAGATGTTGGAGTGGAAAGAGTAATGCAAATATTCCATATTCTGAAAAAAAAAAAACTGATCCAAAACACTTCTGGTCCCAAGCATTTTGAATGAGGGGTATTCAACCTGTATCTGAGGATCTCTAGGCTTAGCCATAGGCCCTCTTCTCTTGCTACCCTATATTCTCTCCCTAGGTGACTTTATCCAGCCCCATGGGTTTAATGCCATCTAAATACTAGTGGTTCTCAAATACGTATCTGTCGTGGTTCTCGAATAAGTATCTGTCTCACAGGCAACTCCTTTGAGCTCCAGGGCATATAACCAGATGTGTTCCAAACATTTTCACTTGGGTATCTCAAAGGCACTGAAAACAAAAAAGTCAGGACTGAAATAAACTCCAAATGCCACCCTCCCAATACAGTAATGTGTCACTTAACAATGGGGATACTTTCCGATAAATGCATTGTTAGGTGATTTTGTCATTGTGTGAACATCATAGAATGTACTAACATAGATGATATTGTGCTCTTTTTGAACAGTTATTTTGGCTGGAAATTATATTTTAATATAGGTGCATATGATATGTTATCTCAGGGTAATATATTTACATTTAATGCATTAATATATAACAGTTTGTTATATTTGTGACATAATTTTCATATGTTACACATATGTTAATGTTTTCCATTTGATTTTGTGAACATAAACCATGTCTACCTTAATGACCATTGTGGTTTCAGTGTCTAGCACATTTTTGCACACATGGTAGGTATTTCAGGTCAGTTGGAGTTTATCAGTCTGGTGACCATGAAAATGTGCCACTCAGATCTCCTGTAATGAGACACTTTGTTGATTGATAGTCCCAGCTGCCTTCCTCCTGGATGCACTACCAGATTTGCAAAGAGTCGATGCTTCCCCAGCCAGTAACTGAGTTATTTAGGGGTGCTGATGCAGGTTCCTTTCCAGAGGATGTGGAACTTCTTTAAGAGGGAACTTTTGGCTTAAGGACTTCTCTCACTGGCCTGGCTAAAAGATTTTTAGAACTAAGCTACAGTCCAAGGTTCTTCCCACCTAATACTCCTTCCTTCACTATCTCTTTCTGTGGGTGTTGGATCTTCATCATGGTCTGATGGCTCTTCCTGCTTATTCCTGCTTCCTCCTCTTCATCTTTCCCAGGTATTACCCCCAGTAAATCTCTTGCAGGTGTAATCTTGTCTTAGCGTCTGCTTTTTAGAGTATCCAAACTAACCCAGGTGTTACCAAGAGGGATCCAAGAAAGCAGAGGGTAAGATTTTGAGGATTTGGGACTGGCCCACTCACAGAGCAACAGGCAAAGAAGACTCCATCCCAAGCGATCCAAGATGTTGTCACTGATAGTCCCTGATGTGAGGTGGAAGCCTAATTGCTGAAGATATAACTGATGGTGACCCAGAAAAATACCCTGTTGGAGGAGAACAAACTTGCAGGTATAGTGGTTCAGATATTTGAAAGACACAGGGGGAAGGAAGCAATGCATTTAAAGACAGTGGAGTTGGCTGGTTATTGCTGAGTTATACTGATGCCTTACAGAGGAATAATGAGAAACTGATGGCCAATATCAAGAAATTAAAGGGTAAGCGTGAGAGCCAAAGAGGCTTTTTTGATACCTTACAAAGATCTTATTACCTGAAATGAGAGAGTGAACACAGCTGAAAAGTAGATTCAGGACCTGATAGTCACAGAGCTCCAGAAAGGTTTAAATGCTTAGCCATGGCTGATCTGTTATAAGATCTGGGTCCCGGGTGGAAAAATATCAGATTCTGACATATGGTATAGGGACATCTAGATGAATTCCCATGAATATTTTGGCTCTCGAGACTTCCATGAACCTCCAGAGCTTGAAGAGTTGGACTATCCCTTCTAGTAAATGCCTGAAATTCTCCCCTAGGAGATGCTGCAGAGATCTTGCCCTTATATCTAGGAACCATCATCTTCTTCCCACAACATTCAAAAGAGGAATGAAGCTGTAAGCTGTGAACAGGAAGAATCCTCATTTCATCTTCTCGGCCACAATAGGGATGTGTGAGGCTCGGATATTCTTGTCACATTTGGTGGATGGTGCGGGGTCTTTGAATGGCAATGACACACTATTGCTAGGGTAACATATGCCACCCTCTTGGGAGCTTCACCCACCTTCTCTTCTGGCTGCCAGGCCAATGCCTAGGGTTAAATGTCAGCACAATCTGGCCGCAAACTTGGTTATGGATGAGTAAACTTCGTATGCAGGTGTAAGCTGGAAATGTGTAGTGCAGCATCACAGCCACATTCAGGGGCTGCTTTGAACGAGAAGTGAATAGGGAAAATATTCCTGATTGGCAGTTGTGACAGGTGAACACTATTATTTATTTTATATAGAAGGAAAAGTGAGTTGAGGTGAGAATATGTATAGATTCCTGGGCAATAGCTAATGGCCTGGCTGCCTGGTCAAGGGCCTGGGAAAATGGCTGAAAGTTCAAAGGCAAGGAGGTCTCGGCTATAAGCATGTGGATAGAACTAAGGGAGTCGGTATAATGTGTGAAGATGTTTGTACACATATAAATACATACGATAGAAAGCATACAAAAGTACTGAAAACACAAGTAGACAAAAAGACTTGGTCAGTTGGCATTCATAGAAACCCAATAAAATGGACTCTTTCTCATGGCTGATCTAGTGCTGCCTCTGAATGTCCAATGGGTGAGCAACAGAGACCAACACTGAGCCCTGTATGGCACTGTTCCTTGAGGAGAAAAGTCAGCAACTTGGTGGAAAGTTGATTATATTAGGCCCTTTTTTATCCTGGAAGGAGCAGCAGTTCATCAGGATAGACACTGAATGCAGGTATGGGTTTGCTTTTCCTGCCCATAGATCTTCAGCCAACACCATTATCTGGGTGCTTGTAGAATGCCCAATCTATACGCATGGAATTCCGTGCAACAGAGCATGTGACTAGTGGACACAAATTTATAACTCTTAGTTGTAAAACATACCGCACACTCTAGAAAAAGCTAGCTTCATAGAGTTCTGAAACAGCCCTCTAAAGATGTAGCTGAAACACCAACTTGGATGCAACACTGTGGATGGATGGGAGCCCCCTTTCAGGATACAGGGTATGCATTAGATCGGAGACCGCTACATGGTGCTGGGTCCTCAACAGAAAAAACTATGTGTCCAGTATCCAGGGAGTGGAAGCAGGAATGGCCTCACTTAGTATCATTCCTAGTGACCTGTTGGGGGTGTTTTGTGTTTCCTGCTCCCTCCACTCTGGGTTCTTCCAGGTTGGAAGTCCTGGTGCCCAAGGGGACACACTTTTAGGGGCAGAACAAATGTCACATTGAACAACAGGCTACAGATGTAGCCAGGGTGCTTTGGATTTCCTAGGTCCAGAAATGAGCCAGTAAGGAATCATCATACCAAGAGGAATTATTGACCCTAATCTGTAGAAGAAGGTAGGGTTTTGTTTACACAATGGGGGCAGGAAACTCAATGTGCAGAGCTCAGGTGTGTGGAACTCAGGCGATCCGCCTGGAGCTTCCTGCTACTCCCTTGCCTCATTATAACTGAAAATGGACATGTACAGCCTCACTGGCTTGAGAGACACCTCAAATGCATATGGAATGAATGAATGAGTGGCCTCAACTTCTGAGAGCACATTGCCCACTTGTGTAATTACCATAAGTGTTAGGGGGAAAACTTTGGTGAAAAGATTTTTCCAGAGTCCCAGGGCTTCTTTATCAGTCACGGAAGGAATTCTCTTTACCAACTCCCCTCTCCCAATCTATAGAGTCCTCATAGAAATGAGACTCCAGAAGCCCGCTCTGCAAAGCCACAGCTCCAAATTTGGGCACACAGATGAAGTATCCTCAAGACCTTACTTTACAGAATCCCAGTTTTAGAGTTAAAAGAGCCTTCATAGGTCATCTAGTCCTAGAGACTAGGTGGGAAAATGAAGAATGGGAAAGACTGGGTGATTTGTCAGAAGTCATTGTTAGGGTTGAAATGCTAGTTGAAAATGCTACTTAGTTTGATTACTGCTAAATAGTGACTCCAGGGTATATAATACTAGTTGTTCTGATCATCATTAATCATTATCATAATTATTGATATTAGAATAGCATATTTATTGAAAGAGTAGCCTGTATCGGGCACTGTGTTAATCGTTCTAACTCATCTAATACTTGCAACAGCCCTATGAGGTATATATGAATCCAATCTCCAGTTTTAGAAGTGGAAACTGAGGCTCAGAGAGGTAAGGCCATTTTCCCAAGCTCACAGTGTTGGCAAGCAGTGGCTGAGCGTGAAAACAAAAGTCTGTCTTGCCAGGTTTGAGATGTCTAACCACTCTGAACAACCTGAAAATTTAAAAAATTTGTAATATTTTAGATACTGTTTTTAAAATTAATCTTAGTAGGAGACAATTACAGACTGCTTCCCCCATTCCACGAGTACAAAAATATCAAAGCACTCATTGCACATTGTAAGAGTAAACAAAATAGTCCCTGAAGCCATCTGGATTGACCAGATGGGCCAATCAATACTCTTTCTTTTTAGTTGGGGAAACTGAGTCTCAGGCCCCGTAAGGCACCCATGGATGTTGTTAGGGTCATCACTCAGGCCTGAGGCGTCTCTGTCAGGGTTTTATTGAGCAAAGCTCCCTGCCGCCATATGCGTTTAAATAATGAACAAGGATCAATACCTGTCTCTGTTCTTCTTGTCCACATTCCCTTGATGATGGCCTAAGAACAAGAGGCCAGATTCACCACGGAACTTCAGCTTGCAGTAACAGCTCATTATATCCTTGCTGTAGCTACATTTTCCCCACTAAGAACCATGAAAGATATTGAAAGGGGCGGCAGGAAAGGTCATAGAGAATTCACCAGGATCTAAATCTTGAATGCTGGTGAGCTCATGTGGCTGAGTTTCCATAAAGAGACACTCATCCATCAACAAATGTTTATTCAATAGTCAACATAAACCCAGCTGGTATATGGTATATCCCAGTAGTTAGTGTTCTGCAAACCCAGGCAGACCTGGGATCACATTTCATTTCTGCCATTTGCTAGCTGGAAGACTTTGTGCAAGTTTCTTTGCTCCTTCCCTCCCACCTTCCTTCTTTCTTTTGTTCCTTGCTAATTTATTCAGGTGAAACACAAAAAGTAAAGTGCATTAATGTTAGGTGATTGTGTGTATGTGTGTGTGTGTGTGTGTGTGTGTGTGTGTGTATGTATGTATGTGTGTGTGTGTCTATATCACCATCAACTAGATTAAGCTATGGTACCCCATAATGTTCCCTCATGTTGCTTCCTAGTGTATATATACCCACAGCAAGAGGTAATCACTACCTTGACTTCTATCTTCTATTGACTAGTTTTGCCTGTCCTTGAAATTCACATAAATGGAATCATGCAGAATATACCCTTTTGTGTCTGGCTTCTTTCACTCAACCTAGTAATTTGTGAGATTCATCCATGTTGTGTGTAGCAATAGTTCATTTCTTATCTTGACATAGTATTTTTGCACGAATACACCACAATCCATTAGCCCATTAATACAATCCATTCTCCTTTTGATAGGTGTTTGTACCATTCTGAGTGGTTAGTTTGAATAAAGAGGCTATAAACATTCTCATTCTCATACGTTTGCAGCATATGCAGTCCTTCTGTTGGGTACATAGCTAGGAGTGGAGTCGATGG
This sequence comes from Homo sapiens, assembly GCF_000001405.40. Classification (NCBI taxonomy): domain Eukaryota; kingdom Metazoa; phylum Chordata; class Mammalia; order Primates; family Hominidae; genus Homo; species Homo sapiens. The sequence goes on along the minus strand of NC_000012.12, from coordinate 115,720,187 downwards.
GTCATTTTCCTTCTTTTTATTAGAACTTCACTTTTATTTAGAAAATGGTAATCATGATAATACTACTGCCTTCTTAGCATTGCTGTTTGGGGCTACTTTGATTACTCTTACAATGCACAGTGAGTACTTTGATACTGTTGCACTCATGGAGTGACAGAAGCATTCTGTAATTTTCTCCTAGCAAGTTTAATTTGAATGAGGTACATAGTCTAACACACAATAATCACCCAATACTAGCATTCTAGTTGTGTGTTTTCATGGTACAAGCTTAGAGAGTGTGGTCTTGACCTAAGCTCTTTTCAAAAGCCATGCCAACTTCTCATTTCACTGAAGATGACCATGAAGAAGTTGGACTGAGCATGCCAGGCCCCTCCCTGTGTAGGTTCCACATGGGAAGCTTAGGCACAGCACTCACTACCCACCTGCTAAAGTTAAAAGTTCATTCCTCCCATCAATATTTATTCAGGGAACACTTTCTCCTTTGCCATTTGCTTTATTTCATCTCACCAAAGAGAAAGCCAGTACCTCACCACCTTCTGGCAGCCAACATGCCTGCAAACCAAGATCTCCAAAGAAGAGCCCTTTTTTATACCTGCATCCTTTTTTGAAATCTCTGAATTATCTAGATTGGCCAGATGAGCCTCTAAAAGATAAACAAAGCCTGATAGGAAGGACTCTCAAGAAACTTGGAGTGTCCTCATGGCCTCAAGAAGGGGCCAGCCTAAGAGGAGGGCACATGAGAATCTCTGGGCCCTTTCTCCTCTCCAGGCCTGTGCCAGGCCCTTGTATCTACATGAGCAGAAACTTGGGCGGACCCAAAACAGACTGTGGTTGGAGCTAAAAGACAGCCTCAGAGATGCAATAAATCAAGGACAATTGTAAAGGTGCTTTGTATTCTAGGATGTTGAAACATCTCTCTCTCTCTCTCTCTCTTGCTTGCTCGCTCTCGCTCTCTAATGGAACCTTCCCCCAGGCACAATTAACTGTAGGCATAGGATAACATGAAGAACCACTCTCTGACCCATTCCCTTTTCTTCTTCTGCAAATAATGGGATGATGTTTCATCTCCAAAAATAGCCCGTTGGGCTTGGAACACTTTCCTTCCCTTCTTAGGGCTCCATGGGATTATTGGATTATGAAGCAAAGGGTTTTTTTTTTTTGGCTGGCATGGCTGACTGGTATTAGAGAGCTGGAAGCCAATGGTAGCTGAAGTGCATGGAATCTTTCAAGTTTAATAATATTAGACACAAATATATTCAGCACTAAGTTTCAGGCACTGTGCTGGGTGCTTAACTTATGATCTCAAAGAATTCTTATAATGATCTTACTATAAATAGATTCTCCCTTCCTCCCTCATTTATTTTGATATAAGAAAGCAAGGAGGTTAACGCTCAGGGTTGTTCAGTGCTGTAGACTGAATGTCTGTGTTCCCTCCAAATTCATATGTTGGGGTCTTAGCCCCAAATGTGATAGTATTAGGAGGTGGGGCCTTCAGGAGGTGATTAGGTCATGAGGGTAGAGCTCCCATAAATAGGATTAGTGCTCTTCTAGGAGACCCCAGAGAGTTCTCTCGCCAGTTTTTTCTACCATGTGAGGACACAGTGAGAAGATGGCCATTTATGAACCAGAAAGCAGGCCCTCTCGCCAGGCAGCAAATCTGCTGGCATTTTGATTTGGATTTCCCAGCCTCTGGAACGGTGAGAAATAAATTTATGTTGTTTAGAAGCCACCCAGTCTATGGTATTACGTTGTAGAAGCCTCAAGCTGAAACATGCAATTCAAAGGTAGCAGACCCGGGATGAGAATTCCATAGTTCATGTCTTTCATTTGGAAAATATATCATTTGTCAATAGTACTTACTACTGTTGAAGTTTAATTTTGGGATTCCCCTCCCTTCCTAACATTTCTCACTGGTATCTATTTATTGTTCTAAAAATAAATATAATCAGTTTTATTTTGATAATTTTCCCCCCTTTTATCTAACCCAGTGCTTGACAAAATCCAACCTTAGGACTTTGGGTCAAAATAACCTTCAACTGGTGGTCCATAAAATAAAATGATGCTCACCTAGCCTGATCTGTGAGTTCTCTTCCCAGCAGAAGAATCTCCCTCTTTTCCAGCTTGTCTTGAGGGTGATAGCGGACATCTGTTAATTTTTAATTTTTATTTTTTATTGAGATGGGGTCTTGCTGTGTTACCCAGGCTGGAATGCAGTGGCTATTCACAGGTGCAATCCAGTACTGATCAGCACAGGAGGTCTGACCTGCTCCGTTTCCAGCCTGGCTGGTTCACTCCTCCTTAGGAAACCTGGTGGTCCCCCACTCCCAGGAGGTCACCATATTGATGCTGAACTTAGTACAAACACACCATCAGCATAGTGCATGACAACCCGGAACTCCTGGGCTCAAGCAATCCTCCTGCTCATCCTCCTGAGTAGCTGGGACTATAGTTGTGTGGCACGGGGGCCAGGCAACATCTGTTACTGTTATTGGCTGTCCTGCCCTTTGGACTGCCCTTTTCTGCTCCATGTCATTCTGGAGGTGGGACTTTAAATCAGGGGACCCTTTTTCTCCTATTCAACCTTTCTACCCAGAGCATCCCTGTCCCCTTCCAGGTGATGGATTGGTTCAGGGGTGAACATGTGAATCCTTTGCTGAGATCAGGATGGATGGTGGGAAGGAGTGGAGTTATTTCCTTTAGAAATGATGAGCTTCGGCTGGCACAGTGGCTCATGCCTGTAATCTCAGTGCTTTGTGAGTCCAAGGGGGGCAGATCACCAGAGGTCAGGAGTTCGAGACCAGCCTGGCCTACTGGGTGAAACCCTGTCTCTACTAAAAATACAAAAAATTAGCCAGACATGATGACAGGAACCTGTAATCCCAGCCACTAGGGAGACTGAGGCAGGAGAATCGCTTGAACCCGGGAGGTGGAGGTTGCAGTGAGCTGAGACTGTGCCACTGTACTCCAGCCTGGGCAACAGAGCAAGACCCCATCTAAAAAAAATGTTGAGCTTCTCTAGGAATAATGTATGCTTAGTGTTGTTGAGGGCCATCTTTGATTATATGAAAGGGGTGGCAGGAAATGTCATAGAATTCACCAGGATCTAAATCTTGAATGCTGATGAGCTCATATGGCTGAGTTTCCATAAAGAGACACTTATCCATCAACAAATTATTATTATTATTAATTGAGCCCAGAAGAAATATTAAGCAGTTGTGCAGGAAAGAAGATATGAGAGATGGGGTGGGACGGGAGGAAAATCTAATGATTTATTCTAAGGTGAACTTTGGATTCAGCTGTGACTGCCTCAGCTACTTGGGGCACTCATGAACATGTGCCGCTCAGTTCTCTCTGCTGTGAGTAGCAGCCTAGTGGACATCTCCAACAGCTGTAGCTTTAGATCTGCCAGATGTTCACTTTGAAGCCACATTCTCCCTGGGCTGCTCTCAGCCCAGCCAATGACTGAGCATGGTACAGCTTCTAGAGCAGGATTATTTCGCTCCAAAGTGGGACTCATCTAATGGGGTAAGAGGTCTTTGCCCTTGGGCTTCCTATTGGCTTTACTGAGACTTTTTTTTTTTTTTTTTTTTTTTTTTTTAATCTGCGCTATAGTCTGAGGCTTCTTCTTTCCAATCCTCCTTTTGTCCCTGTCTCCTTTCCCAGGTGTCAGACCTGGGTCATAGTCAAAATGCTCTCCCAGCCTCCTCCTGCTTCCTTTATTCTTCACAGGCAACTCCTCCAATAAGTCTCTTGACTGTCTAATTGTATTTTGGCTTCTGCTTCCTGGAGGACCTGAACAGACACACCACCCAAGGCATTCCATGTTTGCTTAATGAATTGGTTATGAATTGACTCTCTGTCATTTTCAACCCAAATAATCTTATAGAAAATGGGATCTGGAAGGTAAAGCTGCTTTAAAAACCATGGTTCCTGTAGAGACATTGGTTATAACTATTATTATTAAGATACTAGTAGCCAGGCGCAGTGGCTCACGCCTGTAATCCCAGCACTTTGGGAGGCCAAGGTGGGTGGATTACGGGGTCAGAAGATTGAGACAATCCTGGCTAACACGGTGAAACTCTGTCTCTACTAAAAATACAAACTATTAGCCGGGCGTGGTGGCGGGTGCCTGTAGTCCCAGCTACTCTGGAGGCTGAGGCGAGAGAATGGCGTGAACCCGGGAGGCGGACTTGCAGTGAGCCAAGATCGTGCCACTGCACTCCAACCTGGGCAACAGAGTGAGACTCCATTATAAAAAAAGATGCTAGCAAGGCTGTGGATAAAAGGGAGACCTTATACGCTGTTGGTGGGAATGTAAATTAGTCCAGCCACTATGGAAAGCAGTCTGGAGATTTCCCATAGAACCTAAAACAGAGCTACCATTTGACCCAGCAATTCCATTACTGGGTATATACCCAAAAGAAAATAAATCATTCTACCAAAAAGACACCTGCGCTCATATGTTTATCGCAGCACTGTTCACAATAATAAAGCCGTGGACTCAACCCAGGTGCCCATCAATGGTAAGTTAGATAAAGAAAATGTGACACACATATACCACAGAATACTACACAGCCATGAAAAGAACAAAATCATGTTCTTTGCAGCAACATGGATGGAGCTAGAGGTCATAATCCTAAGCAAATTAAGTGAGGAATAGAAAACCAAATACCGCATGTTCTCACTTACAAGTGGGAGCTAAACATTGAGCACCCATGGACATAAACATGGGAACAAGAGACATTGCAGACTACTAGATGGATGAGGAAGCTAAGGAGGGGGGCGTTGGTTGAAAAACCATGTATCAGATAGTGTTCTCCCTACCTGGGTGACAGGATCCATACCCCAATCCTCAGCATGATGCAATATTCCCATGTAACAAACCTGCACATGTACAACTTGTATCTAAAATACATGTACCTGGCTCATGCCTGTAATCCTAGCACTTTGGGAGGCTGAGCAGGGTGAATCACTTTAGCTCAGGAGTTTGAGACCAGCCTGGGTAACATGGCAAAACCCTGTTTCTACAAAAAATACAAAAATTAGCCGGTTGTGGTGGCACATACCTGTAGTCCCAGCTGCTTGGGGGGCTGAGGTGGGAGGATCACTTGAATCTGGGAGGTAAAGGCTACAGTGAGCCGAGATTGTGCCACTGCACTCCAACCTGGGTGACAAAGTGAGACCCTGTCTCAAAAATAAAAATAATGAAATACATGTACCCCCTGTATCTAAAAGTTTTTCTTTAAAAAAAGATTGTTCGCTGAGAGTTAAATGACAAGAGATTAGGAGTAACCCTTGAAAATGAACAAGATTTCCAAACTTGAACAAGAAGAGAGGGTGGTGGGATGTCGGGTAAATCTCAATACCAATTTAAGTCTTGTCTGGGACTATCTTTAGGGTTGATGTCTAAATTCAGATCTCTTATTCTGTATCTTTTCTTCAAATCCACCTATCCCAAAGCTTCCTGGACATTGGCACTTGTCTATCTGTCAGGCACTGGGGATCCTACAGGTCTCAAATCTAACTTATTTTTTCCCCACTTCCCGAATTTTCTCTTCCGTAACGTCCCTTAGCGTAAGGAATGTCCCATTGTCAATTCAGTAGATCAGAACAAAAATTCAGGAGTCGTCCTGGACCCCTTTCTCTTCCTGCCTCCTCTGTATTCCATCAAACATAATTCCCCCTTTATGAAGGTCTCATGCCCTCCTTCTCTGTTTCCCTAAGTAAGGCACACAAAGTACCTTAGCCTGTGCCTGGCCTGTGGAAGTTACTTGCAAACATTAAATGTTCATTTCCATTACTTCAAAACCTGGGATCATGTAGACTTTTATAAGTCAATAATCAGCTTTTTAAAATGTATTAAGAGACTGTTTATATTAACTAAACTCAGAAGGTGGTTTATCCTCCTGCTTTCTTCTAGGAAGAGATCCCATTATAACCAGAATAAAAGGAATCGTCCCTGGAGAAAAGTCAACTTGGTGTGCCAAAGCAATGCTTTGTAAAATTTGAAAGCAATTCTAAAACTCGTTGGGTTGGGAGGCTGACAAAAGTTTGCCAACTCTTTTGTTTGCCAAGTTAGGTAACATTTTAAAAATTGCTATCTGCAATTACTATCAGTTTGTAAATGTGGCACTTGATTAAAACTGTGGCTCAAAAGTTTTAGTTCTGAAGTGAAGCTGCTTTCAAAGAAGTAGCATCTACAGAGTATCTTCCCATCTAAAGTCATCTTAGTTTTTAAATGACATAATGACCAATTCTTTTTTTTTTTTTTTTTTTTTTTTTTTTGAGATGCAGTCTAGCTCTGTCCCCCAGGCTGGAGTGCAATGGCACGATCTCGGCTCACTGCAACCTCCGCCTCCTTGTCTCAAGCAGTTCTCCTGCCTCAGCCTCCTGAGTAGCTGGGATTACAGGCATGCACCATCACGCCCAGCTAATTTTTTCTGTATTTTTAGTAGAGACAAGGTTTCACCATATTGGCCAGGCTGATCTCTAACTCCTGACCTTGTGATCCACCCACCTGGGCATCCCAAAGTGCTGAGATTACAGGCGTGAGCCACCACGCCTGGTCCATGACCAATTCTTAAAACCCATTTTCTCCCTTCTTATCTCCCCAAGTTTTTGCACCCAAACTTTCCAAATCTTCTCAACCCCCTTCTGCAGGGCTTTAACTTTCTCCCTCTTCCTTCCCCGTGTGTTTCTAGCTGTTTGCCATGCAGATTGGCTTACCCTCCCACCTTCTCAGTCCTTTCCCCACTTTTCTTTCTGGTGGCAGTGGTCTGTTCCTCCCTTCCTCTGGTTCAGCATCAAGAAAGCTCCTTCCTGCACCCTAGTCCAATTATCTAACAAAGGCAGAACTCGTTCTCTGGATAAAGAAGGAAAGACATTGGGAAAAGTGATCCTTATAGCTGGTAGGGGAAGGAGAAGAAAGACTGGCTGGCATGAATTGCTCTTGTTCCATTGCCAAAGAGAATTTTTAATAACAATAAATATAGAAAGAACAGAATCTTACAATAAAGGTCAGTTTTTTGTATTGAGTACTTTTGTACTGAGTACTATATGAACAACTCAGGACATTTTTCTCTTTTTGTCCATTAGCCATTGACTGATGAAAACTTAGCAGCCTTCTGGTTTATCTTCCCTGATTAGTTTTTGCCTCTTTTTTCCCCTAGGTACATTGAACCTGTAGTTAGCAAAGCCCTGTTAGAGCATCCGGATGATCTTCTCATTGTGTGGGTAGGAAGGAAGGTAGCTCAAACTTCCAGCTCTGTTTCTATCTTCTTGTCACATCATCTACCCGTGTTTGAGCTCCAGGTGGAGTCCTTTGATTACAGGGCAATAAACTCCGTGCTCTGTAAGAACTGTCTAGGAAAATGAGAATTTCACTTCCTTGATGAAGCCATGAGCTTTTCTTTTTTGACACAGAGAGGAAAAAAAATCTAAGAGAAATAAAACAAGAAGCAAGACTGAGGATAGAAGAGAGCTTTTTACTCATACAGGTTGAGCATCCCTAATTCGAAAATCCAAAACCCAGAATGCTCCAAAATCTGAAACTTTTTGAGCACCCACGTTACGCTCCAAGGACATTCTCATTGGAGCATTTTGGGTTTTGGATTTTCAAATTAGGGATGCTGAACTGGTAAGCATAGTACAAATATTCCAAAATCTAAAGAAAATTTCAAAATCCAAAATGCTTCTGGTTCCAAGCATTTCAGATACGGAATACTCAACCTGTACCAGTTTGGGCTTGTCAACTCAAATGAATTACACTGTGAGTTTGTGTGTTCTCCATCACACCAAATGACCCCTTCTTGGGAGATTGCATTTCTAATAAGGTGCATCTCCTTTGTACATCTGACTGTGTTGTAATTTACAGCATGTTTCTTTTACAATAAAAACAAGAGACCTTCATTTTAAATGTTTCAAATGTTTTAATTTCTCCAGAATTAACTTCTTTCTTGTTGGCTCCAGGATAGTGAGCTGCTATTTTGCTTCTAATAAAACTGTATTCAGTGGGAGTGTGTAGAGAATAAGGCTCTTTAGACATCTTGGTTTAATAATATGATTAAGTATTTATTGAGAGTCTAATATATGCTAAACATGGTGTTTGGCCATGGTACTCATGTAATTGCAACTCAAATCTGCTAAGGCAGGAATTATTTTCCATATTTTACAGATGAGGAAACTGAGTGTTAGAGGAGTTTAGGCTCTTGCTTGTGGGTGTTGAGATGGTAAGTGGTAGAGCTAGGTTCAAATCCATGTTTCACTCTAAGACACATGTTCTTCCTGTAGACATCTTTCTGGGTAGCATCTGTTATCTATTGTCTTTAACTGACATCTGGTTTGGCTGAAGCTCAAGCTCAGATAATGCAAAGGGAGCTGTGGATTGGAAGAAAAGCTCACTACTTCAGGGGAAGATGTATGGGGTCACACACTGAGTGTGATGTACTCTTGCTAATGCACCCAATTGCCCAACTTCTAAATTAAACTCTTTCTTGTCTCCAAAATTTAGATTTTGTTCAGCTAAGGACTCCTGGGGTGATATGGTGGTAGAGATGATGGTTGTGGTGGTGATGGTGATGGTCATAGTGTAGTGGGGATGGTGGTGATGGTGGAGATACTATGGTGGTGGTGGGTAGAGATGGTGATGATGATGTTGGTGAGGGAGGTGGAGGTTGTGGAGGAGATGGTGATTCTGATGGTGGTAGAATTAGTAAAGTAGTGGTGGTGGGGTGATAGTGATTGTGGCGATGGTTATGGTGATGGTGGAAAGTGGTGTGGAGTAATGGTGGTGGAGATCATAGTAATGGTGGAATTGGTGTTGGTGATAATGGTAGAGATCTCATGGTGATGGTGGCGATAATGATGGTGGCCGAAGTTCGTTTGTGGGGTTAATATACCCCAGAAACTTGATTTGATCAGTGTAAACAAGTTGATGAGAATCTGGGCAAGTGATAACATCTCCACCACATTTCCATAAGACTGAGGTAGCAACCAGACTCTAATTGGGTAATTGATGGTGCATAATTATTCTTTCTTATCACAAACTTAAGTCTGCTATTTTGGCTTTCCCAATCCTGAGACAAGGAAGCCAAATTAGACACAAGGTTTGTTCAGAGAATATGGAAGGAAAGAAAAGCAAGAATGATCCCTAATAAGCATTTGTACACTCCCATCCTAGGGGGAGACTTACTTACATCCAACCTTACTTTACGTCATCTGTCTTTGTAGGTGCAATCAGACATCTAATCTTTCTAATCTGACAAATTTGGCATGAGAGAAATTTCAAACTCATGACTTATCTGAGGCTTAATTTTCTCAATAGACAAATAATGCTGAGTTTTCCAAATTAATATAAGGATCTAATAAGATAATGTACATAGACTATTCAGTACAGTTCTGGGCCCAAAATATTTATTTTGGAATTGGGATCAGATCTATAAAATGTCATCAAATTAATCCTTACAAGAAACCCCCAAAGAATCCCCATTTTAATGCTATGCAAACTGAGCTATAGCTCATTTAACAGGGGAGTTAAGTAACTTTTAATAGTAGGTAACACTTATTGGTCACATACAGGTGCTATGTACTTCGCTAAACATCACCTCATTTAATCCTGACATCAACCGCATGAGGTAGTACCCTTATTCTCCCCATTTTACAGATGAGAAAACTGAGGCACAGAGAGGTTGCATAACTTGCTCACATGGTAAGAGGAAGATGCAGGATTTTGCACTCAGGTTACTTACTCCAGAATCTACTTGCTTAACTGGGAATTGGAATGGTGGTGAGTCATTGGTCACATGGGGGTGGTGCTGGTTGGGGATCTGAGCAGAAGCTCATACAGATGCAGCTACCGCCTCAGCAGTGTATCTTTCCCTTGCCAGTATTTGCAGCTGATTCACCAGGATTTTCATGCTTCCCAAGGTTGCCTTGACTATGTATATGAGAGGAGTATCCGGGGCCAAGCCCAGCTGCTTTGGCAAGGATGTTTATAGAAGAAACATCTCCTCCACACCCAGGAGGATGTGCTCTTTACACTCTTTGGGCTCCAAGATCCTGGCTCCAAAAGTATCAGCCATGCAAAAAAGAAAAAAAAATTGTACTTGCTCTCTTCAGGGGAAGAAAAAGGCAAAAAAAAAAAAGCAAGAACAAACCTCTCCCATCCATCTGTAACCAAATATATTTTGTGCTTGGTTTCCTTGGGTGGCCTTCTCTTAATGGTTTCTAATTCATAGAGACAAAAAACATAAAACAATTTAAGGCATTGGCACGCTCAGCTCGGCAACCCAGTGTATTCCCGAGGGAGTGCTTTTGGCAGCGACCTCCTGAAGTTGGCCTAGCTAGGAGGCTCGGAGGCTCACAAGAACAGAGGAAGGTTTTTTTTTTTTCTTTCTTTTTTTTCTTGTGCTGTTCCCTGCTTGCTGAGAGATATGCAAGGGAAGTGGGTTGGCTGGGTAATTATCTGGCTGGTAATTACAGCCAGTTGTGGAGGAATACTGCATATTCCGAACGGTCGCCATGCTAGCTGGGAAGAACCCTCACCGAGCAATGGATTTATGGCTGGCCATGCAGAGCAGGATGTATGTTTTGGCTCATGCACTAGGGAGAGCTCGGCCTCTCCCTCTTTCTTTGCCTCTCTCACTCTCTTTAATCTCAACTTCAGAAGGGAAGGAGTTGGTCGTTAATTCATCTGGATTTTGAAATTGGGCTTTTTCATGTGAAAGAGGCAAGGGCTGTGAGGATTTTGTTCATTCTGTCTCTGGTGTCACATCTACTGTATTCAGTTAATATTTACTAAGTGAAACAAATTGGTTTACAAAGAGCATTGATATAATATCAACCGATATTTACAGAACATTTTCCAAATGCCAAAGCCCCATTATAAATAGCTTCCGTGTACTGTGAAGTGGATTCCCATTTTTATCTCTACTTTAAAGATGAGGGGACTGAAGCTCAAAGAGGTGAATAACTTACCTAAGGTTACACAGCTAGAAAGTCAGAGCAGGTATTCAAATCTGGGCAGCCAACCACAATACTATATTATGGATGGATAAGTGGAAGGCTAGATATTGGCATGACAGATGAAAGACTTTCAGAGAAAGTTAACCCCATCCCATTTATTTTTAGTGGATAAGAGAAGCACATGGCTGGATTCCAGGTTTAAGCAGTGAATTTGTAGCAGAGCCAGAGTTTTTGACACTTTGGCCAGCGCTTCTGCCTCTCTCTCTGTTGCCTCATTTTCTCCATGTCAGAGAAGTTTCTAAGTCCTAGAAAAGCTGCACGTTCATACTCATAAACTCTCCCTCACCAGGCCTAGGTGCATTGAGGGAATCAGAGCTGGAACCATCATCTTGACCCCAAGGAAAGTTAACCATCATCCTGGTGTACCTAGGACTGACGGGTTTCCCAGGATGAAAGACTTTCAAGACTAAAGGTCTTGGAATGAATCAGTCACTCTATCCAGATGTGACTTGGTAAACTCTTCTATAGAGAGCCTGTTTAAACCTGTGTTCAATAAGCCTTTTAGGAATGTCATCCAATGTAGGGCTGAGGACCTGCGCTTCAGCATCGGACAGACCTGGTGTGGAATCTCACCAGCACCACTTCCTTATCAGTGAGTGACCTTGGACAGCTTACCTACCTCTCTGAGCCTCAGTTTCTCCACATGTAAAGTAGGGATGATGCTTACATCTGTCTCATAGGGTTGTCGTGAGGTGGAAATGAGATAATGTATGTCAGATACTCAGCACAGGGCACCTCTAAGAAAATGTGAAATCAAGCCTCCGTCTCATGCTCTCGCCACATAACTATAGTTCAGTGTCAATGGCAGAGTCTGAAGTCATCATGCTCAGCTGGCTTCCGGCTCCTCTCAGTAGAAATGGCTGTTTTCTGTTATTTTCTGGGGTTGCAAACCCAAATGCATGTAGAGGCCAGGAATGAACTGAACCTACTATGTGCCAGATTCACCCATGTGATGTTTAGAGTCTCCCAACAACCCTGTGAGAGAGCCAGGGCTTCCATATTCATTTCTCAGATGAGTAAACTGAGACTTAGAAAGGTAAAGAGACTTGTCCAGTCATTCATGTACTTAGTGGTTGACGTGAGACTTGAACCCAGGCAGCAGTCTGTCTCCAGAGCTTGGGCTCTTGGCCACAGAACTGCTCATTTTTTCACAACTGCATTGAATCTTTTTCGTGTGTGATGCACATTATTTAATGCATTCCTTCTTATTTTGCACTAAGGTATTTTGGTTCAATTTTTGTAATTTTATTTTACATCTCTGGAAACAATACTGGGGTGAGGAATGTTCTTTATCTCTACCAGGATTTCTCAACTGTGGCCCTCTTGACATTTTGAGCCAGATGGTTCTTGGTTGTGGGCACTGTCCTGCGTTTTGTAGGATACTCAGCAGCATCCCTGGCCTCTACTTACTGGATGCCAGTAGCACCCCCTTCAGTGTCTCCAGATATTGCCAAATGTCCTTTTTGCGGGGACCAAGCAAACTTGCTTTCTCTTAGGAACCATTGAACTTTGTATTCTGGCACGGGACATTTCCCGAATCCAAATGTTTGTGCTATTTTTAAAAGGTTTTTGTTGCATAGTGACCAAATGTCATCCACAAAAGTTGTACCAATTCATAAGACCACCTGCGGTGCGTGCAAATACTGTTCCTCCTCATGCTTGCCAATGACAGTGTTACCCAGTACAGTCTTAGGGAATCCTTAAGAAGTACTTGTGTACTTCTAGATATGTAGAACAGACAGCCCTTTATAGATTGTCTAAATCTATCCTTTAAAGTAGGGAAAACTGAGGCTAGAAGGAACAAGGATTTGCCTCAGGCCACACAGTAAGTCAATGGCAAAGTTGGGGCTCTTCAAACATTGATAAACAGCAACTTGTAACTGTCACCTGGCATCCCCAATAATAGCCTTGATCATCCCAAATTAGATTGAGTCATTGAGGCAAATATTATTTCCAGGATTTTTCTCCTAGATGGTATATTATTCCATAAAATTATTTTTTATTGTGCTGGCTGTGCATAAAGGCAGTATTTTGGTGGCAAGGCAGGGAGTGATGTATGCTGGGCAGTGGAAAGGCAGGTAAAAGTTTGTGGGCTTGCGGCTTGCTACAAACTGGGTTTATCGTTCTTTGTAAATTCTCTGTCTTTTTTTCCCCCTTTTGAAGTCAGGAGTGATGAGATCAGTAGCATAATTGATCCAGGCTGGGAAAAGACTATGATACTCACAAAAGATAGGGTTGATGCGCTCCTGCGGCTGCATGTGGTTCAGTTCATGAGCTCCCAAGAGGGAAGTGCTCCGTTGACCCAACTCAACTCGGAATGAGCTTAAACCCTTCCCCAGTGGCTTCATGGCCTGGTCTGTGTCTATCTCTCTGACTTCATCTTCCACCTCACCTCCTTGGGCTCACTCTGCTGTAGCTGTGATTACCTGCTTTCTTTTCCTTGAAGAGCTGTTCTCAGGGCCTTGGGGACTTGGCATTTGCTGTTCCCTCTGCCTGGGACTTTGTTTCAAGAGTTCTTCTTATGGCTGATGCCTTTGATTGCTTTAGGTCTCTGCTCATAAGCCCCTGCTTCAGAGATGACTCCTTGACCACCCTATTTAAAGAAGTCCTTCCCTCTAGTATTGCGTCAATTCATCTCCTGTTTAGGAGATGAGACTTCACCATTTCCTCTGTAGAACTTTCTTATGTGTCTACTAGTTCATGACATGGTCTCCCTACTGGGGATAAGGACCTTGCATATCTGGTCCACAGGCTTATTTCCAGAGCTAGAATGGTGCTGGGTTTACAACAACTACTTGTTAATGGAATGAAATAGTTGAGGGTCTACTCTATGTAATATCTGGAGAAATATAATCAAAGCAGAGAAATAAAATATGGGCACACAAACTAATCACAAGAAAGTAGATGCAGGTGGTGTTGAATGTTGCAGGCGTGGTAAATGGAGATGTTATGATAGTCTGAAGATGGAGCTGGAGGGCTCTGACTTTTCCTACAGGCGATGGCATTGGAACTGGACCTTCAAGAATGCAAAGGGTTTGAATGGGTGGGGAGGAGTGAGTGAGGCATTTCAGGCCATGTGTCAGATGAGCTGTTGGTAAAAGGCTGAAGTCTGCTCTGGAGACTGGCCCATGACTGTTTGGCCAAGGAGGCAGAGTCACTGACACATGACACCACACAGCACTGCATGTGCATGTTGGGCAAGGCTTTGGGACTTGAGTCTCGCATGAGGACTGAAAGGTATGAAATGAAAAATAAGAGAGCTCTGGAGTTAGATGGAACTGGGATTTAAATCTGCCATTGAGTAGCCACACGACTGTATCAGTTAGCTATTGCTGTGTAACAAACCACTCCAAAACTTGATGGTTACAACAGCAAACATTTATTTCACTGATGCATCTGTGGATTGACTGGCTGGCTCTGCTGGTTTAGGCAAGTCTTCACTGGGGTTTTTCATGTGTTTTCAGACAGCTTCTGGGTCAGCTTGGAGCTGGCTGGTCTAAGATAGCTCAGCCCTGCCTGTCACCTTTGCTCCATGAGGCCTCTTCTCCTCCAGCAGGTTAGTTAGGCCTTATTTCCATGCACATAGCAGCTCAAGTGGCAGAAGAGAGAGAGAGAAAGAGAGAGAGAGTGTGTTAGAGCGAGAATGAGAGCAAGTGAGAGAGAGAGAGAATGCAAGAGAGAGAAGAGTGAGTTTGCAAGATTTCTTGAGACCTGGACTTAGCACTAGCATATCATCACTTCTGCTTTATTCTGTTGGCCAAATCAAATCCAAGATCAGCTCTGATTTGAGAGGTTGGGAAACAAACTCCACTTCTTGATGGGAGATAGCTGCAAAGTGCCATTCCAAAGTATGTGAATCCAGGGAGGACTGAAAGATTTTGACCATTTTGAAATCTACCAGGGAGACTTTGAGCAAGTGATTTAATCTTTAGTCTTGCTTTTTAATCTATAAAATGGGCTTCAAAATATGGCAGGTACATTTCTTAGCATAGAGTCTAGCCCTGCTCAATAAATGGTTATCATGGTTGTAACATCTTTTACCATCACTGTCACTGTGGGATGCACATGCAGTCTTAGGCAGAGACAGAAGAACTGAGTTCAGCTCTGATTATTAGCTGTGCAAGACTAAGCCAGAGTAAGCAAGCTGGGTTCATTCAGGATATCTGCTTCCTGTCTGTAAAATGGGGTCATAGTAGCTGCTTCCTGTCTACCCCACTGTTGTGAAAGTCCTTTGCAAATCCATAGCACAGGTCAATCCCATTCAATAAACATTTACTGAGTGCCACTGTGTGCAGGCATTGTGTTGGGCATTAGGAGAATAACGAGTAAGAAAAAAAGACCTCCTCTGTGTCCAGTAGGGGAAGAGAATTAAACGGGATGCTCTGTCATACAGTGTGATGAGCCCTGATGCAAGATAAGTATGTAATGACAATGTAAATAATGATACATGATAAATGGTTAAAATCACACCTACTATTTACTAAGGGATTCCAATGTACCACTGCCTCTGTTAAACAAGGGAATTTGTCTAGTACTACAGTGAAGAGCACAGACTCTCCCTGTGCTTGAATTTTGTTTCCACCATTACTAGTTGTGTGACCTTGGCAGGAGACTTGACCTCTCTGAGCCTCAGTTTTTGCCTGTGCAAAATGGAGTCAATAATAGTGATGGACTTACAGGGTTGTTGTGGGATGAAATGAGACAATCCATACAGAGCCCTTGAACTGAGCTCAGCACATAGTAAGTGCTCAATAAGGCAAATACGTATCTATGTCATTAAATTATTTCTACAATCCTGCAAATGAGGACATGACCCTCATTTTGTGGATGAAAAAACTATAGCCCTGAGGCTCCCAGAAGTACAGAGAGCTATGGGAACACCAAAAAGGACATGAAATATTCCTGATCAAATTGGGGAGGCCAGAGAAACCCCAGATAGAGATGGGCCCACCAATCCCCACCAATCCCCTAGGTAGGGTTTTTTTTTCCTCTCTCTCTCTCTTTCTATGTGGTTTAGCAGGCACTGCCTGCCTGGATCTCTACTTTTTATTTTCTTTTTAATTTTTGTGGGTGCATAGCAGGTACATATATTTATGGGATACATGAGATGTTTTGATACAGGCGTTCGATGTGAAGCAAGAACCTCATGAAGAATGGGGTATCCATCCCCTCAAGCATTTATCCATTGAGTTGCAAACAATCCAGTTACACTCTAACACTTACTACCCTAGTTGTGTAGTGGGTTGGCTCGAAAGTGACCATCCCCCCCAAGTTATGTCCTTGTACAATCCTCTGCCCTTGTATGTGGGCAGCACCTGTGGCTTTCTTCTAACCAGTAGACTATGACAAAGGGGATGGAATATCACTCCCGTGACTATGTTATGTTGCGTGCGACTCTGTCCCAGCAGACTGGAGCCAAGGACTCTGCAGGCCTTGAAGATGCAAGCTGGTATGATGTGAACTGCCACATGGCAGGGAACTGCAGGTACCCTCGAGGACGTGAGGACCTCATTCTTACATCTGCAAGAAACCAAATTCTGCGGACAGCTATGTGAACTTTAAAAGAAGACCTGGAACCTCCAGAAAGGAATGCAGCCTGGCCAATGTGCTGATTGCATCCTTGTGAGACTCTGAGCCAGAGGACCCAGCTAAACTCTGCCTGGACTCCTGACCCACGGAAACTGTAAGATAATAAACGTGTGTTGTTTTAAGCTGCCAAATTTGTAGTAATTTGTTACACAGCAACGGAAAACGAATTCAGTTGGAGATCTGGCCACCCTCTGCTAAATATACATATTAGTGATTTTTAGTCCTTCCAGCTTTGAGTTCCAGTAACCTTTGCTGAGCAGTTGCATGTGTCAGCATGGTGTTTCCATGTTCTAGACATGATCTCATTTCACAGGGACTGAGAACAGGCATCCTGAAGGTGCTTACTAGCTTTGTGTTCTTGGGCAAGTTACTTACCCTCTCTGGGTCTTGCTTTCCTTATCTTCAAAATGGGGCTAAGTAGTAGCACCGGCTCATTTGGGTTATATAAGGGTTAAATGACTAGTGCATGTAAAGAATTTGGAAGGGTACCTGGATGAACAGTGCTTAAAAATGTCAGTGATTATAGTTAATATTAACAATATTACATATATTAATAGGACATTGTTGCTATTACTGTCATCATTATTAATCTATGCAGTAGATGGTGAGCTCTCCATTTTACAGATGGGAAACCGAGGGCTAAAGGCAGTAAGTGGCTTGCTTAAGGTTCCAGGTTTATTTAATGTCAAAGCAGGGACTAGAATCAGCCCTCTCCATTGTTCCTCTTTTGCCTGCCTCCATCTCAGACCCTTTTTTGTCCACAACTCCATATCTTTCTCCCTGTGGATATATATATATATATTTTTAGAGAGGATTTCGCTCTTGTCGCCCAGGCTGGAGTGCAATGGTGTGATCTCAGCTGACTGCAACCTCCACCTCCCAGGTTTGAGTGATTCTCCTGCCTCAGCCTCCTGAGTAGCTGGGATTACAGGTGCCTGCCACCACGTCCAGCTAATTTTTGTATTTTTAGCAGAGACAGGGTTTCATCATGTTGGCCAGGCTGGTCTCGAACTCCTGACCTCAGGTGATCCGCCTGCCTCAGCCTCCCAAAGTGCTGAGATTAAAGGCGTGAGCCACCATGCCTGGCCACCCTCATGGATCTTTGTTTAAACTCATGACTTAGCAATTTCCAGTCAATAGTTGACCACTCAGGGCTTATTTCTCTCCTCTGGGGCTGCCTCACCATGGAGCTCACCTAGCAACTCACCTGTCAGCTGCTCACTCTGCTGACACCATGGACGCATGCAACATTTATCTCTATCTATCTGTCTATCTATCTATCTATCTATTTGTTTGTTTGTTTATTATTCTTTAAGTTCTAGGGTGCATGTGCACAACATGCAGGTTTGTTACATATGTATACATGTGCCATGTTGGTGTGCTACACCCGTTAACTCGTCATTTACATTAGGTATTTCCCCTAATGCTATCCCTTCCCCCTACCCCCACCCCACGACAGGCCCCGGTGTGTGATGTTCCCCACCCTGGTTCCAAGTGTTTTCATTGTTTATTTCCCATCTATGAGTGAGAAGATGTGGTGTTTGGTTTTCTGTCCTTGTGATAGTTTGCTCAGAATGATGGTTTCCAGCTTCATCCATGTCCCTACAAAGGAAATGAACTCATCCTTTTTTATGGCTGCATAGTATTCCATGGTGTATATGTGCCACATTTTCTTAATCCAGTCTGTCACCGATGGACATTTAGGTTGGTTCCAAGTCTTCGCTATTGTGAAGAGTCCCACAGAACACATGCATCTTTCTCTGAGCCCAGGGTGGGACCAGATCTTATTTATTTCTGAATGTCAGGACTTAGCCCTGTGTCTATTACAGAGTAAGAGCTCAGCATATTTGTGAATAAATGAGTAAATTAATGAATTGAAAGTAATGCAAAAACGAAATCCATAAGGGCTGTGAGTTTAGGAAAAATCTAGATCTCCCTCTACTTTGAATCCTGAGTCTAGAGAGGAGCTTGGCACATTCATTGAATATAGACATGACTGCACAAAGATACTAATAACAAACAGAGTCTCAAGAGGATTCCTAACTGGGAACTCCTCAACAGGAGAGCACGCCTTTTCTTATCTTTATATTTCCTTGCTGGGCACACAGTAGGTGCTCAGTTGATGTTTGTTGAATGGATTACTAAGTGTATGCATGAATGAAGATAGCAATATAAAAACTGCCACAGTGCAACTGAGAATTGTGAGTTTCTCAAGTTAAAAGACTGATTTATGATCCGTCTTGTATCTTCAACTTACCAGGCAACGTCTGGTACATACTCGCCGGGCAATGCCTGGTACATAGTAGGCCCTCAGATTCCGGAAGTCAGAAAAACTGACCATCAGATCTTAGGCAGATCAACCAAACCCATGCTCTGAACATCAAAGGGAACACAACTGCCCTTTGCCTTCCAGAGCCAGACTTTCTCTGCCTTTGCTAAGGTTTTTTTTTCCCACTCCTGTGGTTTGAAGCCAGTTCCTTAACATTGTGTAAACATGGTTTTGTGTGGTTAAAAATGTATTTTAAAAATGTCACTAATTACCCAATAGCCTGTAACCACTCTTTCAGGGACTTAATCGGTCTGTCATGTAAATGCCTAATTAGGGGCCTTGGAAAATGGGAGGGATGGAAGTTTTGGTGTCCCGAGCCTTTCTGGCTACTTCTTTCTCTAGAGGCCCAGTGGAAACACTGGGGTCCCCTGCGTCAGCAGCTGGAGGGACATTCTCAGGCTGCACTGGGTCCCTGGCGCTCTGGCCTCTGGGATGGTGCTGGGGCCGGAATGCATCTGCATGCAGGGAATCCTCAGGCTACTAAGCTTAATGGGAACCAACCGCCCCGGCCTCTCCTCCATGCCCAGCAGAATATGTTCATTTCAAACCCAAATAATTCACACATGTGAAACTCTGGCTCCCCACTTTCCTTTTCACCCCAAATAGCCCGGGTTGCTACGGTCTGGTCCTTACTCATAGAACATCTACAATTCAATACGAGTTGCAATAATCCAGGTGAAATAGGCAAACTCCTCAGTTGAACCCATTCTAAAGGATTCCATGTAACATCCCCACATCCCACACTTTGTTGCCTTGCTGATGCCTCAAAGGACAGCGCTGATGTTTAATTTGCTCTGGACTAAAACAACTTTTCATCCCAGGCTAGACTTTGGGCATCAACTTTTATTTGTCTCCTTGGAGATTTCTTTTTATGACCTCCCATCTGTGTGGGAAGGGCAGAAGGGTATTGATTGCATCTAGTCAGACAGTAGCCATTACTACAGAGATGTGGCAGTGGCTTGAGCAATGTCCATGTCCCCTGAGCTTGTCCTGCTTCAAAGCTTTTCCCTGTAACCAGACCCCTGGTTTGATGGTAGGGTAATTGTCAGGAGCCAAGGTTACCCAGCTCTGTGAAGGGCTGAGCCACAGCGGTCTGGGCAGCACATGCTTCCTCTCCTTGTCCTGGATCACACCAGTTGTCAAGTATCTACCAAGTGCACATATAACTTAGAAGTTGGGAGAGAGATGGCAAAATGAGAGTCCTGCCTTCGTTACCTATAGGCCAGGAGAATATGCTCAAACCCTTTGTCCTTCTGAGCCTCAGTGACCTTATCTAGAAAATGAGTATAATAATGAACCAGTAGGCAAGTTGTTGTTAGGGTGGAATCAGAACAGGATCTAACTATAAGATGTGCACCCTGTGAATGATCACTGTTACTTATGGATCTGCCTTTTTATCTGTAAAGTGGGAAAAAAGCATCTACCTCATTGGCTTATGGTGAGACATAAATGACTTCATGCACGTAAAGCTCTTAGCATAATGTCTGGGATGCTCTAGGTGGCTAAGATGTGTTGATCATTACTTTTGCAACTCTTACTTTGTTTTTATGATGATCTCCTTTTGGCCATTATCAAGCTTGGAAACTGACAGATGGAGCAATTAAATGACTTGCCCCAGGTCATGCAGCTTGGAAGTGACAGAGCTGGGATTTGAACTCAAGTCCACATGATTCTGAATCTGTGGTTTCCATTTGCCCTGCCATCTTATCTGAGTTCATGCAGAAAGTACTAAGGTTGTGGGCAAGTGATGGGTACAAAGAAGGTTTATAGCTCTCAGTTACAAGAAAAGGAGCAAATGAACAAAGAAAGACCACAATTCCTGGAAGAGGGAAGATAGTGGGGATGGGTACGAAGCTTTCATATGGCTTGGAGGCTGATGTATATACAAAGGCAGGGAGAAAAAAGACACACATAGAAAGAGAACACATATTTTTGTTCATTGCACTTAAAAGAAGCCAAAATGATTAATTGGTGATCTGATATTTTAATTTTTTGTGTGGACATTTCTTTTGCTTCCATGACGGCAAAACAGTTGTACGTGTATAGGACATTAAAAAATATTTTGTAATAGTGTTAATAAAAATACCCCAGTGGATTATCTTTCTTTGTATGCTGTAAAGAGGGTTTTTCCTTGAGGTGGGAGAATGCAACTGATTGATTAAATGGTGAATTGATTATTTTTTAATCATCAACCTCCTTTGTGATTTTTAATAAAAACTTGAACATTCAGAAAAATAAAAGACATAAGAAAACATTACTCATAGCTCTTTTGTCCAAACATAACCACACTTAATGTCTTGGAGTGTTTTTGTTTCAGTGTTTTTTCTCTAATGGTTGAAAACACACACCTAAGTTTAATAATACCATTAAGGTAATATTTTATACTGCATATCTCATGTAATATTTTAACATGAGCATTTCTGTCTTATTGTTTTTTTTTTTTTAAGACGGAGTCTTGCCCTGTTGCCCAGGCTGGAGTGCAGTGGTGCCATCTCGGCTCACTGCAACATCCACCTCCTGGGTTCAAGTGATTCTCCTGCCTCAGCCTCCCGAGTAGCTGAGATTACAGGCGCATCCGACTAATTTTTTGTATCTTTAGTAGAGATAGGGTTTCACCATGTTGGCCAGGCTGGTCTCAAACCCCTGACCTCGTGATCTGCCTGCCTCGTTCTCCCAAAGTGCTGGGATTACAAGCGTGAGCCACCACACCCAGTGTTTATGAACAAATTTTTAATAGTTTATCAAAGCAGGTAATTAATAATTCCTGTAATGTTGATATTCCATGTTTTCTAATTCTTCACTATTACAAAGAACAAAGCAATGAACACCTTTTATTTTGGCATGTTTTTCCCTCCCCTCCCCTCCCCTCCCTACCTCCCCTCCACTCCCCTTCCTCTTCCCTCTCCTCCCCTTCCTCTTCCCTCCCCTCCCTTTCCCCTCCCTTTCCCCTCCTTTTCCCCTCCTTTTCCCTTCCCTTCCCTCCTCTCCACTCCCCTTCCCTTCCCTTCCCTTCCCTTCCCTTCCCTTCCCTTCCCTTCCCTTCCCTTCCCTTCCCTTTTCTCTTCTTAATGCTTGGATTTTTCTTTTGGATGAATTCTTAGGAGAGAACCACTAAATCCAAGCCGTGGAAATGTTAAGGTCCTAGGTATGTATTACTAGGTTGCTTTTTGATCAATATATTCCATGTGACATCTTGAGGTCTCTTCTTTTTCGGTTTCTTAGCTATGAGGACAGCAAATAGTCATTTATTCTTGCATTTCTTCATTCCTTCATTCACCAACATCTACGGAGCCTCCACTTTGTGCCAGGAGTTGTGGGTATGTTTCTGAAAACATAACTATTGGGCCTTATCAGCTGTGTGTTGGAAGTCACAGTGAGTCAAAGATGTGGCTGATCTGAAATTTTCAACTGTTCTTTGGGAACTGGCCCTCAGAGGTCTCCAAAGGGACTCCTGACTCTTTCTTTTGGGGGTGTGCTCGGTGGTCCAGCATTTCTAGGAATGCCATCTTATTGTACACTAGCACCCAGCTTCTGTGGGACAAAAGCAGCAAATGCTCATTGTTTGAGCTCCTTGGAGCGAATACTTAAGTGTCCAAGTAAGCATTAAAGCACTCTGCCTCCTCCCCACCACTTCTCTCCGACAAAGCTTTTATACGGAGCACGAGTGCCCATAAATAACAGACCAACCTATAAATAAATACAGCTGGGAGCCCACAAAAGCCCTTGACAAATGCTGTTTATTTAATTTCTCAAGTGTGGTCCATTTGGGATCCAATTGGAAAGGGCTGCTAAGCTTTTAAAAGGCCAGCTTATGTGCTTAATCTTCATTCCCCTTTGGAGGGGCCATCCTGGCATCTCCCCCACACCTGCTTAGTTCAGTAAAGCAGCCGAGTTGTCTATGAGGGATTTGGGACAAAGGAGGGTTTCTCAGGTTCTTCTCAATGAGGGGCACTCAACTCTGGACAGGTCAAACTCACATCATCGTTAATCTCACTGCAACCTAGCCGGTCTGATCTGTCCTCATCATTCATTTACTAGGTGGGGAGGTCTGGATCCTTCCAAACTATCTACCAAGGAGTGAGGAAAACAGCAGTAACAGCAATGTGGAGCCAGTGTGGTCATCTTGCTGTGAAGTGTCTGACTCATTAATTATTTCAGCAGCAAGCAAACAGGGCAGCACATCACAGAAGGAGAGCATCTTCTATGAGCATTCCATTGGCCATACGGGACCCTCTGCTTCCTGCCCCAGGGCCTTTGAATATGCTCTTCCTTCTACTTGAGATATTCTTCTCTTCGTTTTCACGTAACCAATTCCAGCTTCAAGTTGCAGCTTCTATGCTGCTGCTTCTGGGAAGCCTTCCCTGCCTGAAACCATCCACCCTCCAAAAGAACGGACTACCAGTTTCCTTGTTATGCTTTCTTACAGCATCCTGTACCTCTCTGTTGTGGTTCTGTTCACAATTTTCAATTAAATTATCCACTGGGCAATTATTTGTTGATGACCCGTCTTGCTCACTTTTGCCCTGTTGCTCATGCTGGAGTGCAGTGGTGCAATCTCGGCTCACTGCAACCTCTGCCCTCCAGGCTCATGCAGTTCTCATATCTGAGTCTCCCAAGTAGCTGGGATTACAGGTGTCCACCACCACGACTGGCTAATTTTTGTATTTTTAGTAGAGACAGGGTTTTACCATGTTGACCAGGCTGGTCTTGAACTCCTGGCCTCAAGTGACCTGCCCGCCTCGGCCTCCCAAAGTGCTCGGATTACAGGCGTGAGCCACTATGCCTGGCTCACTTCTTATTTGCTACACCCCAAATTTGAGCCACCATTGCCACTCAGCAGAGCAATGGTATCTGGATCCTCATGGATCTCTGTTTCCCCCAGCCTCCACCCCTGCAGCCTCTGCTTACCATAGCAGTCAGAAAGACACTTTGAAAACATGTCACATCACGTCCCTCCTCTGCTCAGAACTTCCCAGGAGCCCCCCTCTCGTTCCGAGTGAAAGTTTCTTTACAGTACCTTACCAAGCTCTACAAGATTTGACCTGTGATCTCTCTAATATCATTTTTGGCCACTCCTCACTTGCACATTCTGTTCCAGCCACCCTGGTTTCCCTAGGGCTCCAGAGTAGTCCAGGTACACTCTTGCTATTGCCTTAACTGGCCTTGTGGCTCAGTCCCTCATTTTCAATTCCTACACAACTAGCATGTCATCCAAAAGGCCTTCCCCGATCACTCTTACCCCTCCCTAAGAATTCTCCCCCTTTGCCTGGCTTCATTATCAACCACTGCAATCATGACCAGTTTACACACCATGCATTTAGTCTGCTCACTGTTGATCTTCTCTTGCAAAGCATGCAAGCTCCATAATATTTAGCGGTTTTTTTTCTGCTCTATCCCCACTGCCTACACCAGTCCCTGACACCACATAGGAAGTGCTTTATGAAAATATTTGGCATAAATGGATGTCATATTTTAATCAATGCAAAGCTTTGCATGGGTTTAGCCAACAAGTAAAGTAACTGTAAGCCAACAAGTAAGACAACTGAATTCTTGAACTGGGGCTTCCTGATCTTGTATGGGATTTATCAGCAGATTATCTGTCCATCTTGCTTTTCTTTTCCAGGTACAGGCAGAGATTCTACAACAAAAGTCTTAGAGATTCCTGGTGGAATATAGATAGTTAGGAGGTAAAATGTCCTGCCCAGGAACAACATACACTGGGGCCTATTGGAGGGTGGAAAGTGGGAGGAGGGAGGGGATCAGGAAAAATAACTAATGGGTACTAGGCTTAATACCTGAGTGATGAAATAATTTGTACAACAAATCCCCATGACACAAGTTTACCTATGTAACAAATCTGCACTTATACCCCTGAGCTAACAAGTTTAAAAAAAAATGCCCTCCCCAAGAAAGACCCAAGATAGGGAGAAGAATAGGGCCTCCTGGTAAATATGGAACCAGTGAGAAAGGATACACTCTGGGAAGACAGCTGGGATGCCGCTGTGACCAACTTGTCCTGGGACCCTGTGGTGTGTGGGTTTGTCTGTCGGCTGCCCAAGGAGCAGCATGGGGCAGAACCAGCCAAAGGCGAGATTAGCTTGGACTGAGCTTCAGCGTCCAGCTTTGGCTGTTGCTAAATTCCGTGAGAGACTCTGATGTTAGACTCTCCTGCTTGCGATCTTGTTTGCCTACATGAAAAAGCCCCAGCTTGATGTTTATCCCAGGAGGCAGAATGGGAAAGTGGAAGGAACATGGACTTGGAATTCAGAGGGTCCCAGTTTTGAATCCTAGTTCTGTCACTCATTAGCTATTTTTACGACCTCCTTTGGGAAATTACTTCCCCTTTGAGTTTTGTTTTCTTTAAAAGTAATCCTACCTCCCTCCAAGGATCCGCATACCTCCTGGGCTTTGCCTGATGCTCCTCTTCCTCTCACCTACTGTGTTCCAGCCACACCTGGCCATTTTCCTATTTCTTGAGGCAATCCTGCCTCAGGACCTTTGTACCTGCTCTTCCTTTTGCTAAAATGTGCTGTTCCCAGTTCTGCAGGCTGATTTCTTCTCATCACTCAGGTTTCAGGCCAAATGTTCCCTCCCCAGAGAGGCTGTCCTTGACCACAACATCAAAAATCACCTCTAGCCACGTACCTAATAGGCAGTCACTCTGTTATATTTTCATTATAGCATTTAATATTATTTAAGAGTATCTTATATATGTATTTATTCACCTGTTCAGTCTTTGTCTCTTATTCACCACTAGATGTTAAGTTCTGTGTGAGTAGGGACTTTCTCTTATTTACTGATTATTTCCTCAGCATCTGGAACAGCTTTTGACACATGGTAGGTGTTCAATAAATATTGGAAGAATGGATAAATGGTTTGTTATAAGGAATACATGGATTGTGGTAGAATAATTGCAAAAAAAAAAAGCTGCAATTCTTCATCCATTATGCACCCTTGCAGTGATTTTGCAGCTAATTCCATCAAAAGATAGGGTCAATTGCTCTGCCTAAGCTGAATCTAAGCTGGGCTTGTGACTTACAAAAGCCAATAAAATGGTGGCCATTAAAAGGGGCCATAAAATGCTGCCAATGTGACAGCATGCCAGTTCCAAGCCTCAGCTTCATGAGGTTTTACATGCTTCTAATCTACCTCATGGAAACCTGACTTCATTATGAGAGACATGTGATCCAGTCACCCCTGTCACCATTCAATAGTGGGACATGTGAATGAAGCCATACTACACAAGCAGGCCCTAGCCAACCTAGCAGCTGAACACAGATGCATGAGAGAATCCAGCTGAGATCAGATGAACTAACCCAGATCAACAGCAGCAACCAGCCAAGACACAGACTTAAGAAAAGTCACTGAGTTTGGGGCAGTTTGTCATGCAGCAATAACTATCTTATACATGGAACACACACATGCACACACACACACAGACACACACACATCCCAGACACATGCTTTAGCTTGACACATAGTAGGTGCTTAATAACTGGTAGCTACTTACTGGTGTGGGAGGTGTGCATTATTTGGTGGTTGAAGAAGCCTTTTCCATGTGGGGATCATAAGTTTAACCATGAGTTGTGTAGCCATTGTATTGACCCGGAGATATGTGTCCCCATTAGGCCCTGGGCAGTCCATTTCTACTAATAGCAAATACCTTTCATGCCTTGCACTTGGTCCCTTGACCTCAGGGTCAGAAGAGTATTGAGAAGCCATATGCAGACCTGGCTCTTTGTTTGACCTGAATAATACATGCATTTTCTTCTTTCTATGATGTTTTTAGGTCACTGATTTATGGCAACAAACATGCCCCTCCACTTGCCCTGGCTTTTGTTAATGACCTATCATGAATTATCCACAAAAGAAATGTTAAACGAGCTAATTAGACATTAACCTTACATTATAGATCAACCACACAATTGGATCCTTCACAGCTACAAATGTGATAGCATAAAGCATTAAGTATTGATGGTCCCAGGAAGGGCTGAGAGAATGGAGGGAGAGAAGCAAAGTGAACCAGGAGAGGAAAGTGTTGAAGACACCTCCTTGCAAGCCTACTGGTAGGAGGGGGGATTGGTGGGACGGAGTCAACCTGCCTGGGGTTTGAATCTGAATGTACTCACTTATTTGCTGTGTGATCTCATCAAATAAAGAATGGTAACATAGAGCTCACACAGAGCTGTGAGGAGTAAGTGAGATAGCATATCATAAGGGCCTGCCATGGACAAGGGCCCTGAAACAGATTCTCTTCCCTCTCCTTTTGGAAAATTTGTCTTATACATCCCTCACTCCCCCGCCGTAAAGATAAACCATGCTTAATTCTAGGTAGAATCAAGTTAGTATTTTTTGAGAATCAACTTTTATTTTAGATACAGGGGGTACATGTGCAGGTTTGTTACATGGGTATAGTACCCAGGTAGTGAGCATAGTACCGAATAGGTAGCAGTTTGATGCACAAATTAACAAAGTCAGGTTGGATAACATGCTTCTAATAAGTAGCTAGGTGACCTTGGGAAATAACTGTCTATATAATTACAAATAATTTTACATATAAATAACATGTATGATGTATATATGTATATACAGCTATACATTGGGATGTGTGTATGTATTTGTGTGTGTGTGTGTCTATGTATGTAGTACTTTACAGCTTACAGAACACTTTCTTATCAATAAGCTAATTTGCTTCACAGAACATGCCAGAGAGGTAGTCAGGACGTGCTTGATTTTCTCCATTTAACAGATGGAGAAATTAAGGGTCATAGAGGGTAAATGACTTGTTAAGGGGTAGAGCCAAGAGTTGAACTTTAGTCTTTAATTCTAAGTCTTGTTTTATTTTCATGATGCCATTCAACCTTTCTCTCCAAGTTGCTTCCGTTATTGAGAAATGGTCCTCAATTGTACAATGCAGGATGTATGGAGCAAGCTTGCTCTGCCCACACTGCCTTCTAAACGAAACTTTCCTGGCCTGAGTTTTCATTATGTAGGCGGCCATGTTGTGTATCACATGATCCTGTTCCCTTCATTCACCCTAGCCATAATTTATTGGATGAGAGGTGGGCACCTCATCAAGGGCAGCCAATCAGTAGGTTTGCCCATGAGTAGGGGTGAGACTGGGCAATCAGATGATCTCTTAGGAACATAAACTGAGTGAACCCAAATGTGAGGAAGGGCAAGAGGTTGAGGTGGGACTGGGGCAGACAGGAGCCAAGTTGGGGCAATATTCTGAGAACAGGAATGTGATAGAGTTGAGGGTGATGGAGCAGATTAGGAGCAGACACAGAGGGGGAGAGGAAGGGTGAGGAGAGAAGAAGGGGAGGAGAGAAAGGGGTGGAGGGGAGAGGGATGGGAGGAAGAAGGACAAAGAAAGAAGGGACAAAAGAGAAGGGATAGGAGAGGAGACTGAGGAGTTGAGAAGTTGCTTTGTATCCTAATCTATTCTGGTTCCATTTGTAGCCCCTGCATATCCTCACCCCCTTTTCGCTTTGAGATAGCAGGAGGGGGCTTGACACAGTGATCGTCAAAGCCCAAATTCTAGGCTTCCTGAGCTCTGCATCTGTATATTCTTGGCGTGACATGGAGACAAAGAGCATACGTACTACTTCAGTGAAAAATTATTCTTGATCTCCTGTCTTCCAAAGCCTATTTGGTGGCTATGTGGAGGAGACAGAGGAGCCTTAGGCAGAATTCTGGGTCTTGATGGAATTAAACATGAACACATGCCTTTTGACACCGTCACAGGGTGTGAAGGGACTATGACAGGGGAGCTGGATGGCTGACACCATGGTGAGTGGCCGACTTTACAGATGTGGGATTCCCCACCCCACTCCAGGGGTGCCAGGGCATAAGGTCTCCATGTCACATGGTGTCAGATGTCCTTGTAAGATGAGAGTCTACAAAGGACCCTCCCTGTTACACCTGTGTAGATGATGAGTCATAGGAGGTCAATGTCATTGCTGCTCATGTTACTCACTGCATCCCTGGGATCAGATACTGTCCCCAAGCCTGATTCCAGAAAGCATTGTGAGGAAGTAAAGCATTAATTAGAGTGGTAGAAAAGTGAGTTATATCAGGTGCCACAAGGCCATTTTTGGGTGGAGTTGGTGTGAACCTATAATCAGGAGGGTCAGTTTCACTTTGCTCTCTACACCTGATGATTGCACCGGTATTCAAGATTTGCACTGCAAACTCTGGAGGGGCTGAAAACATTTTGTCCCAGGAGCTGAAGCCATGACATATTAATAATGCATTCTGGATGCTTTGAGTTTTATTAAAATTGAAAATATATCTACATTAAAAACAAGTAGTGGCTAAATTTCATTTTGCAAAAAATTGCTGTGGTTTTGCTCTTTTTAAGGCTGTTTTCAAGGGGAAAATACATTTGAAACCACCAAATTACTTTTATAATCTTTTCCTTTTTTGAGCCCTAAATTAGTGAAGGCATTTGGAGCAGTAATTGATTGGATATTCTTGGCCTACTTGTGGTGAGGCCAATCATTCTGAACTCAGGTGTACAAGAGAAGGGCAATTATTACCTATATTCTATATGCTTCTAGAGGAGAGTTTTCCATGCAGGAATTTGCTAAGCACCCTGTCTCGTGCAAATGACAGTGGAAGATTTAGTAACCTGAGGTTGTCCTGCCTCCCTAAATCCCCCAACTAGCCTTCCTTCTTCCTACTTCCACTGCCAGGTGCCTTCTTGTTCTTCTATTCTTTTTTTTCTTCTGAAGACAGTATCTTGCTCCATCACCCAGGCTGGAGTGCAGTGGTGTGATCATAGCTCACTGCAGCTTTGAACTCCTGGTCTCAAGCAATCTTCCACCTCAGCCTCCAGAGTAGCTGGCACTACAGGAGTGTGCTGCCATGCTTGGCTATTTTTTTTTAATTTTCCACAAAGATGGGGTCTCACTATGTTGCCTAGGCTGGTCTTGAACTCCTGGCCTCCAGCTGGCCTGCTGCTTTGGCCTCTCAAACTGCTGGGATTACAGGTGTGAGCCACACTGCCTGGCCATTTTCTTGTATCCTGATTTACTTCTTGCCTCTCCTCCCATTGCTTTTTTAAAAAATTGTGGTAACAGATATAAAGTCTATCATTTTAACTATTTTTAAGCATACAATTCAGTTCATATTGTTGTGCAACCAATCACCACGATTCATCTCCAGAACTTTTTCATCTTCCCAAACTGAAATTTTGTACCTGCTAAATAATAACTCTCCTTTTTCCCCTCCCTCTAGCCCTTGGCAACCACTGTTTTACTTTCTATGTCTATGAATTTTACTACTCTAGGTGTCTCATATAAGTGGAATCATATGATTTGACCTTTCAATGTCCGTTTCTTTCTGTTAGCACAATACTTTCAAGTTTTATCTATGTTGTTGCATATAGCAGACTTTCCTTTCTTTCAAGGCTGAATAATAGTCCATTGTATGGATAGACCACATTTTGTTTATCTATTCATCAGTTGATGGACATTTGGGCTGTTTCCACCTCTTGGCTATTGTGAATCCTGCTATAATGAGCATAGGCGTACAAGCATCTCCTTGCCTTTGCAGCCTTCTTCAGAGAAGTACTTAAGGTCACACAGTGGGGAAGTGCCCTTCTTCAGGGGCTCACCCTGCAGCCTCTAGCTTTGCTTTTTATCCCATGTCACAGTCAATGGGCCTAGTCAGACCAGCCAGGTCTAAGGATACAACAAGTATGGACCATCAGCTTGGTATGTGGTTTTAGGGTGGTTGGGACTGGGGAGACGGAATAAAGAGGTGGGGTGACAGTCAGAGGTGGTGTCCAATGGGGCATGCATATTCTAAATGGCAGGGCAGGATACTTGAGAAGAAAGAGCTTCTTGGACTTGGTGTTACACCATCCGGGGTTGAATTTAGGCTGTGATCCTTACCAGCCTCAGCTGCCTCATGTGGAAAATAGGCACAATGTTTCCTATGCTCTGGGGGCATCTTGAAGATGAAAGGAAACAACGTGTGCTCAGGGCAGGCATGCAGAGGTGCTCGATGCTGCTCGGCTTCTTCCGGCCTTACATAGTACAGACAGACCTTAATCAGCCCAGGAGCGCAGAGACCAGGGCGTTCAAAGGACAGATTCTTCCACTATGGTTTCAGGCAGAGAAGTACTAAAAATCTGAAATCAGAATTTGTTTCAGGAAGGGGCGGAGGGTGCAGTGGCTCCAGGCCTCAAGTTTCCTCCAGGAACGTCTCACTCTGTGGCTCCCTGCCCTGGGAGACCTCTTCGGCTTCCAAGAAGTTGTGGCTTGAACTCCATCTTCTTTTACATCTTAAGATCCAGATCCTTGTGTTGGTATCTTCATGTTGGAATGATGCCTTTGAAGCCCTTTGAACACAGCTGGCTTTTCTCTTCTTTGCCATTTCTTTCCTTTATTTAGTGTGCAGAAGGGGGCCGTCTCCTGCCCAACCTTGGGAAACCTGCCTCTGAATGGGAGTTCCACCCAGCAGTCGAAGAAAGGAGAGAAATCCTGGGTTCCCATGTCCTGGATGAAGGTGGGGCCTTTTCCAGATGTTAGGGCTTCTGCTTTCTTGTGTCCAAGAAGGGGAAGTCTGAGCCCAGCAGAAAGAGAGTATGGTCCTGTCCCTGTGGCTCATTTGACAAACATTTCCTGAGCACCTACTCTCTGCCTGGCTTTGTGTTAGGTGTGTGGATGTAGCAATTGATGTCAGCTTGTTGCTCTTATGGTACCCAGAGTCTTGAAGGAATGGCAGCAGCAAGTGAAATGACAGTGCCTCTTCAGCAGGATAAGGGGAGTAATGGTGAGAGGCACAGGGTGCCATGGGAGCAGAGAAAAGGAGCAGGTAATGCAAGGAAGGCTTCCTGGAGGAAGGAGTGTGACCCCAGAGAAACCTATGAGATGCAGACAAAATAGCCACATTAAGAAGCATAGAGAGGTCAGGTGTGGTGGCTCACACCTATAATCCCAGCACTTCGGGAGTCAGAGGCTGGAGGATTGCTTAAGCCCAGGAGTTTGAGGTCAGCCTGGGCAACATAGTGAGACCTCATCTCTACAAAAAATTAAAAATTATCCAGGTGTGGTGGCTCATGCCTGTAGTCCCAGCTACTCAGGAGGCTGAGGTGGGAAGATTTCTTGAGCCTGAGAGGTGGAGGCTGCAGTGAGCCATAATCCCACAGATGCAGTGCAGCCTGGGCGACAGAGGGAAATCCTGTCTCAAAAAACAAAACAAACAAAGAATTAAGGAAGCACAGAGAAGGCATGGTAGGGGGAAGAAACTGTGCAATGATCTGGATATGAAAGGGATCAATTTAGTATTGCTGGGGAGGGCAGTCATCGAGGGATAGAGAGTGTGAGAAATAAGTTGAAAAGGTGAGCAGGACCCAGGCCACGAAGCCTTTTACAGGCTGTGTTAAGGAGTTTGGATTTGATCTCAAGACCACAGGAGCTACTGAGGGCATTTTGGCAGGAGTCAGATTTGCATTTGGGAAGTTCCTCTTAGCTGCAACAGAGTGGAGTCTGGTTGGATTGGAGAAGGGCGAGGAAGACAAGGAAGCCATTAAAAGACAAAATCGGGCCTGTCTTGGAGGCAACAGAGGCTGGGTTCCTTCCATGCATGGCTCAGTCAATTCATGGCCCTGAACCTTTATTAAATACCCAAGGGTGTACCCAGTATGGTACCAAGCCACCCAAATCGACACCACTCATCCCCACCAGATGGCTGATACCCAGAGAGTAAGCGCCTGCCTGGAGACGTGATGGCCAAGGAGGGAAAATGGATTTGAAGATGCAGACTGGGAGGGGGCAAGGGGAGCGTGTCGCTGGAGGGAAAGGGAGAGAGAGGTATAAAGGTCAGCTGGGGCTTGGGCTTGGCACGAAGATTTATAGCCTCCCCAGCTCTTGCTCTGGCTCTACCTCCCCCTCCCCCTCACCCACCCCCTTTCTCTTTCTGGCGGCATGTTCTAGAGACACACATTATCTCTATTAATACCAGCCACAAGGTCATTACTCAGGCACCAACTTTTCCTCCAGCATAAATATTTATACAGGACTGACCTGTGGCTGCTGCGTTTTCCTTTTATTTGATTCCTGCCGCCTTTTGTGTCTTGCTAGTCTGTCGGATAACATGTTTAGCTCCTCTGTCTGGAACCTTCGGAGCCAGTCAAGTCTCAGGGAATGGTAGGGGGGCTGGGGGTGTGGGGGGGTGCTTGGGGTGGGGGAGGAAGGAAAAGAGGGAGGCAGAGTGGGTACCTCTTGCCTAATACCAGTGAAAACCTAAGGGGTGAGAGTGAGGGACTCTTGATAGGCTGTTTAATAACAGACTGGCAAAGTTGTAAAGGAAAAGACCCACAGTTGGGGCTCTTTTCTTCCTCAAGCCTGCAACACCCCTCTGCTCCCCACCAAAAACAAAAAAAACAAAAAAAACAAAAAAAAAACCTCAGGTCAGAAGCAGACTTCCCTTAAAGCTAATGAAGCTTAAGTTTGAGGACCTCACATTTGCAAGAGCCTATTCTCGGGCCCTGAGTTGGGACCTTGCAAAATGTTCCCGTGGTCATTATTCTTAAAAAATTTGCAAAAATGAGATCTATTTATACTCTCTTAGAGGTCCTCCCTCTTGAATGAGCCATAGGACCCCAGGGCCTGGATCGGTTCATGGTGATTTGAATGATATATGGCTCTTTTGCTGGCATTAAATGTTGAGATGTAAATATTTGCGTGAAATAATATTAACAGTAATAATAACAACCATAATAACGCCTGCTAGTTTTAAAGAGCCTATTGCATACCAGGCTTATTTCATTTAGTTCTCACAATAATGTGGAGATAGGCACTGTCATCCCCAGGACACAGATGTGGAATTTGGGACTCAGGGAGGTTGTTTCACCCAAAGTCCCACAGCTGGCAAGTAGAGAAACTAGGACGTGGACCCAGGCTTGGCTATGCTTTCCTCTAAACCTCTAAAATTGGGAATAACTGAAGGCATGTATAGCATGCCTGCTATGCACCAGAAATTGAACAAATACGTATTTTCTTTCAAACTTTCTATGAAACACTCCTGCAAGATAGGAAGAGAATATTGGCTCTGTTCTGCAAAGGAGAAACCAGAGGCTTGGAGAGGGAAGTAACACTGCTAAATCGATACAACAGATACATCTCAAGACAAAAGAAATCTGGCGTGTTTGATTTTTCCCCAGCACCGTGAGACCAAATATACGGTGAACAAAGGTTGGGAGGGAATGGCCCTAAGGCAGTTAGGTTTGGTAGTGCAACTAAAGGTGGTTTTCTTTTCTTTTTTTCTTTTATGTTGTTTTGGCAATTTCGTAAAGGAAATTTCATACATTTCCTAAAGGAAAAATAAAGATGCCAGAGAACCCCTCTTTCTTTCCCTCTGCAGTGGATTGGGTATGAGGCCTATGTGGGGACTGCCAGCCTTGAGCAGAAGGTGCCACATGTCAGAGTTGCGGTGAATACTGGTGTAGTTGTGATGTAGGGGTGGTTGATCAAGAGTAGAAGGCTGGTGCTTTGGAGGACTATCTCTCTGCTCTTGGATTTCTACAAGTCACTCCCCTACAGTCCATATTCCAGCCTTGCAACGTGTTCCACTGACTCCTGGTCGACCACCAGCCTCCTCTAAGAGAAGGGATACGTCCTTTTCACTCACAATATGCCCTCAGAACCCAGCACAGTATCTAGCACAGAGTGTGTGCTTCGTAACTATTCCTTGCATGAGTGAACGAATGAATGACTTCTCACTAGAGACTACCTCTTAGAAGCATTTAAAAGTTAATGAAAGCTCTGAAAATTAGAGAAATCCTTAAAGACATAAGGGGTCTGTGTTCACTTCAAAGGATACCAACACAGAGCACAGCAGGGGAGATCTCAGGATTTGAAGTCGGACAAATAGCCATCGTTTAGCTATCTAGTGGTAAGACTGTCTTTCCCACTGGAACAGTGACGGGTGGACTGTGTGAGTTCTATGCAGTGAGGCAGAGGTGGTGAAGTGAAGAGGAGAGAATAGTTTGGTTAGGAACAACAGCCAGACATGGGCTCAAGTCACCACTTCACTAGGACTAACTGGTGACACCCACATACCCATCCATCCTCCCATATATCATTCATTGGTTCATTCATTCATTCATTGATTCATCATTCTTTCTTTTCTCTTACTTAATTTATTACCTAACCACCCACCATCCACCCACCCATCCAACCACTCATCCAGCCACTCATCCACCCATCCGTCCATCTATCCATCCATCCCTATCCATTCATCTATCCACCCATTCATCAATCCTTGCAGCCATTTATTCATTCATAGCTAGTGTCTGATATGCAATGACTCATCCTCTCTATGCCTCAGTTTCCTCATCTGAAAAATGGGAATAATCACAATACCTAACTCATTGAGGTTTTACAAGGATTAAATTAGTTAATACATATAAAATCTGTTAAAATAATTCCTTGCACAAAAGGCAGATCAATATATGCTATTCATGATTAGGAATGATCTCTATGAATTGAGAGGTATTGTATTCATAATAGCAGTCATAGTAGTTCTCACTGGTCAAGTGCTTACAAAGTGTAAGACATTATTTTATTTACTTCTTGTGAAACTCTATAAGCTGTTTACCCTTACTGTCATGGGTCCCATTTTGTAGATGGAGAAACTGAGGCATAGGGCAGCTAAACCACTTGACCAAGGTCACATAGTCTTTTGGCAGGGGCAGATATCAATCCAAGTTTGACATCAAAGTTTGTGGAGACAAATTTAGATACCAAGGCTAGGCAAGTAACTTCAATGGATGAAAAGGACCATGAGACAAGGGTTAAGCAGCTACAGGTGTTTTGATGAAGCACAGTAACCTAGTTTCATTTTCTTTTGAATTTAAACTGATCCTCAAGCTTGGCTGCCATGTGAATCAAGTGTGGATTTTTGGAAAACACTAATGCAGGGTGCCATCCCCGGAGATGGTGAATATGACTGGTATGGGAGATGGCACCTGAGCAGCAGGAGTTTTGTAAGTTTCCCAGGTGATTCTAGTGTGTAGCCAAGACAAACAGCCTTGTGTAAAAGTACTGATTGAGCCCAGTAAAGGCAAAAAAGCATGCTAGCTGCCATATGTAGCTAAGGAGTCACCAGTTTGCAATCTTATCTGGAGATATAATGGCTTTGATTGAGATGAATCCACCCATTCATCCACTCATCAACTACCTACCCACATATCCATCCACCCTCCCATATATTATTGATTGATTGATTGATTGATTGATTCATTCATTCATCTTTCCTTCCTTTCTCTCATTCAATTTTCCATGCATCCATCCACCCATCCATCCATCCATCCTTGCAGCCATCCATTCATTTATTCGCCTACCTCCCCACTGACCCATTCATACATTAGTCCATCTACCCTCCCAGTCATCTATCTTTTCATTCATCTATCTATCCTCCCTCCCCCTGCTTGCTCTCTCCTTGCTCCCTTGCTTCTTTTCTCCCTCCCTTCCTTCTCTTTCAGCAGACCACAGCCTGGCCTGACCCTCAGTGCAGGCCTCTTTGCAATGGCACAAATTCAGCTTTTCCCCCTTCCCTTCTCTCAAACGTTCCTTTTCCATGACTAAGGTGCTAGTGAACCTCTTTGAGGTGCCCGGTGGAAGTTAGCCAGAGAATGAAATCTGTTTCTGCTTTTCCCTGCGTGGCCTTTCTTTCCTGAGGAAGTCTCTTATAAACACTTCCAGCACTGGAGGATGCCAAGACTTTTGAAGAGCTTCTCCAAGTTGAAAGGCAATCTTGAGTACATACCTGGTGTGTGATGATCTGGATCCATGAGGAGTTTTAAGTGGGATGCTGACCGTGCAACCCAGGACAGGCCGCAGGGGCTTGTTTCTCCTCTGAGAGCTGGCAAAGGGCAATGGTAACACAAGGGCAAGACTACAAAGGCTGTTCCTGAGTTTCTGACATGACTTTTTAGTTCAAGAGTCTCTCTCTATTCCAACTTCTAAAGCAAGGGTTCTCTCTTGGTGCTATTGTCATTCGGGGCCAGGTAATAATACTTTGTTGTGGGGTGCTGCCCTGGGAATTGTAGGATTTTTAGCAGCATCACTGATTTTTATTCTCTAGATGCCAGGAGCGTCACTCTCCCTATACCTGCCAATTTTGACAATTAAAAAATGTCTCCAAGCTGGGCATGTGGCTCACACCTGTAATCCCAGCACTTGGAGAGGCCAAGGTGGGAGGATTGCTTGAGGCCAGGAGTTTGAGACCAGCCTGGGGGCATAGAAAGATCTTGTTTCTGTAAAAAAATTAATAATAATAAAAAATACCTAAATACATTTAAAAAATAGCTGCATATAGCAGCACGTGTCTGTGGTCCCAGTTACTCAGGGGGCTGAGGAAGGAGGATTGCTTGAGCCCCTGTATTTGAGGCTGCAGAGAGCCATGATTGTGCCACTGCACTCCAACCTTGGCAGCAGAGTAAGACCTTTGTTCTTAAAAAAAAAAAAAAAGTCTTCAGTCATTGCTAGATATCTCCTGGGGCAAAATCACCTCAATCAAATCCCACTATTCTAAGCCAAGCCCATAGTAATTGGCAAGATACCACCCACTGGAATGTTCTCTTTTAAAATTATGATTGTTAATTATAGTAATAGCTAACAAAATCTTTAAAATAGGCTCAGCATTATACATGTCATTCTCTCCAGTAATAATAACATGTGATAATAATAGTAATGACAATTAACACTGATAGAACTCACCATGAGCTTGGCTTCATGTATGTTAAGGATGGTGGTTCTCCACTATGGCTGAATGTCAGAGTCACTCAAAGAGTTTTGAAATTCATAATGCCCAGGCATACCCTAGATCAATTACATGAAGATCTCTGAGGGTGGGAGCCAGAGTTTTCCAGGTGATTCTATTGTACAACCAAGATAGAGAACTTCTGATCTAGGATGACTTTATGTCCAGGTTTTCCCAAGACGTTTTACTGTGTACATCCATTGTCCCAGAAGAGTAATAACATTCACTTCTCAAAGTGCCACCCTTTGGACAACAAATTATGTGGTTATCCCTTGTACATAGCATTCCATCTTCTTACCAATTCTTACAGAGAGGACCAGATCCCCAGATATGCCTGTGAAGATCTGAGACCCAGAGGGATGAAGGTGTTGGCTCAGGTTTGCACAACTTGTAAATGGCACAACAAGGTTTCAAACCCAGGTCCCATTTCCCTTTAGAGCTGGGGCTGCTGTCCCTGTACTGCACTGCCACCCATACCAGCCTCAGTGGAGGAATTCTAGGCATATTAAGCAGGTGAACCTTTATGAACAGTTAGTCTGGGATAAGGAAAATTTTTCTTTTATAGTGAAAACATTTAAATGTTTCAAGATCCTAAAGTGTCTTTTTTTTTTTTTTTTTTTTTTTTTTTTTTGAGACAAGGCCTCACTCCATCACCCAGGCTAGAATGCACTACAGCCTCAGCTCCCTGGGCTCAGGTGATTCTCCCACCTCAGCCTCCTGAGAAGCTGGGACTACAGGTGCATGCCACCACACCCAGCTAATTTTTTGTAATTTTGTTGTAGAGACAGGGCTTTACCATGTTGCCCAGGCTGTTCTGGAACTCGTGAGCTTAAGTGATCTGCTTGCCTTGGCCTCCTAAAGTGCTAGGATTACAGGCATGAACCTCTGCACCTGGCGCCTAAGGTGTCTTTAAGATCAGCAGTGCATAAATTGTTCTTATTGGAATATTCCTCTTTTTTTGTATGTAAAAACAACACATGGCCAGGCACAGTGGCTCATACCTGTAGTCCCAGCACTTTGGGAGGCTGAGGTGGGTGGATCTCTTGAGGTCAGGAGTTCGAGACCAACCTGGCCAACATGGTGAAACCCCGTCTTTATTAAAAATACAAAAATTAGCCAGGCGTGGTGGCATGTGCCTATAATCCCAGCTACTTAGTAGGCTGAGGCACAAGAATCACTTGAGCCCAAGAGGTGGAGGTTGCAATGAGGCAAGATTGCACCACTGCACTCCAGCCTGGGTGACAGAGTAAGACTCTGTCTCAAAAAAAACAAAAACAAAACACTTTTTTTTTTCAGTCAGGGTAAGCTAGGTTGTGCTGTGGTAACAAACAACTCCCAAATCTCAGTGATCTTGAAAGCAAACAAAGACAAATATGTTTATTTTTCTTTTATACTATATGTCCACCTTGGGGCAATAAATTCTTCTCTGCTTGCCATGTAAGATAGCATGTCATTTAAATGCTACAGCTCAGAAGTGACACATGACATTTATACTCACAACTCATTGGCCAAAACTAGTCACATGGCCTTACCCAAACAGAAGGAGGCCAGAAAGTGGACTCTTCCTATGTGCCTAGAAGCTGGGGAGCTAAAAATATATGGTCAGTAGGAATGACAACTACCTACATGTTCATTGAAGAAAATTTGGCAAATGTAGAAAAGCACGAAGACGAATAAACACCTAATCCCAACTCTTAGAGATAATTACTGTTATATTGGTAATGTTTGACTTTATATCATTTTAGTTTTTCTTTCTTTGGACACACACATTTACACACACACATGCACACATACATACACACCAACATGGAATTATAATTAATACCATCCATATTTTTTTTTCATTTAGCAACATATTATTTTCTAACTTCTCTGATCTTGAAATATTTTACAAATTTTTCAAAGACATGACATTCACAGTTGAAGAATAATCCATTGTAAAATTACATATAACTTTATTTAATTGGATCTTTGTTGTTGGATGTTTAAGTTCTTTCTATTTTACCTGTAATTCTGCAATGATGATCTTAGACATAAATCTGTGTGTCTTTGATTCTTTCCTTAGGTTAAAGTTTTAGGAGAGGAACTGATGACTTGATTGGTAAAAGTATTTGCTAAATTGCCACTGTGAGGTTAGCCAATTCACATTTGTTATACTAGTTCATACTCCTACTAGTAGTATGGGAGAAGACCACATGCTCTGCCCTTCCCTATTGCTAGCCATTATCAGACCTAAATCTTTGACAATTTTGAGAAGAAAATATATATATATTTTCGTTGCATTTCTTTATTTACAATAGTTTAACTTTTTTCATATGCTTTTTAGCTTTTATAGTTTTGCTTTCATGAATTGATTGGTTGATGTACTTTCTGACTTGTTAGTGTGTCTACCCTTTTTACTGATTTATAGAGATCGTTATAGCTTAGGCCTTTTAAATTAAACCTTTGCTATCTGTATTAGTTTATTTTCATGCTGCTGATAGAGACATACCTGAAACTGGGAGCAAAAAGAGGTTTAATCGGACTTACAGCTCTATATGGCTGGGGAGGCCTCAGAAACATGGCAGGAGGCAAAAGGCACTTCTTACATGGCGGCAGCAAGAGAAAAATGAGGAAGAAGCAACAGCAGAAACCCCTACTAAACCCATCAGATCTCATGAGACTTATTCACTATCATGAGAATAGCACAGGAAAGACCAGCCCTTGTGATTCAATTACCTCCCCCTGTGTCCCTCCCACAACACTTGGGAATTCGGGGAGATAAATTTCAAGTTGAGATTTTGGTGGGGACACAGCCAAACCATATCATTCTGCCCCTGGTCCCTCCAAACCTCATGTCCTCACATTTCAAAACCAATCATGCCTTCCCAACAGTACCCCAAAGTCTTATTTCAGTGTTAAGCCAAAAGTCCACAGCTCAAAGTCTCATCTGAGACAAGGCAAATCCCTTTCACCTATGAGCCTGTAAAGTCAAAAGGAAGCTAGTTACTTTCTAGATACAATGGGGGTACAAGTATTAGGTAAATACAGCCATTCCAAATGGGAGAAATTGGCCAAAACAAAGGGGTTACTGGGCCCATGCAAGTCCAAAATCCAGCAGGGCAGTCAAATTTTAAAGCTCCAAAATGATGTCCCTTTGACTCCAGGTTTCACATTCAGGTTACGCTGATGTAAAAGGTGGGGTTCCCATGGTCTTGGGCAGCTTTGCCCCTGTAGCTTTGCAGGGTACAGCCTCCCTCCTATCTGCTTTCAAGTGCTGGCACAGAGTGTCTGCAGCTTTTCCAAGCACGTGGTGCAAACTGTTGGTGGATCTACCATTCTGGGGTCTGGAGGACGATGGCCCTCTTCTCACAGCTCTGCTAGGCAGTACCCTAGTAGGGACTCTGTGTGGGTGCTCCAACCCCACATTTCCCTTCTGCACTGCCCTAGCAGAGGTTCTCAATGAGGGCCCCGCCCCTTCAGCAAACTTTTGCCTGGGCATCCAGGCCTTTCCATACATCTTCTGAAATCTAGGCAGAGGTTCCAAAACCTCAATTCTTGACTTCTGTGCACCCACAGGCTCAACACCATGTTGAAGCCGCCAAGCCTTGGGGCTTCCACCCTCTGAAACCACA
The DNA here is from genome assembly GCF_000001405.40 of Homo sapiens. NCBI lineage: Eukaryota > Metazoa > Chordata > Mammalia > Primates > Hominidae > Homo > Homo sapiens. Next base: position 115,678,856 of record NC_000012.12, on the reverse strand, counting down.
GCCTAAGCTCTACATTGTCCCCTTTCAGCCACGAGTGGAGCAGCTGGGACAAAGGGAAGCAAGTCCTTAGGCTTGGGACTTGGGAATTCTGGGAGATACAATTCAAGTTGAGATTTGGGTGGGGACACAGCCAAAGCTTATCACTATCATAACTTACAAATATAGTCCCTCAATTTTCTAAGTTTTTTTCCACCTTAACTGATGGTTTGTTGTTGTTGTTGTTGCCGCTTGGCTTTGCTTTATGATGATCGGATGGGTTTTGATTTCTTCATATAGTCGTATTCATTAATATTCCACATTATGGTCTTTGCCACTGACTTTATGCTTGATCTTTCCCATTAATAGGAACTTTGTTCATATTTAGATTATTCATATGAACTGTTTAGTCCACCTGTAATTTAGCTGTCTGACCTTACCGAAGCCACTTAACCTCTCTATGGTTCAGTTTTCTATCTCTAACCTGGTAATAATAATGCTACTTCATACAGTGAGTGAGATGATTAATTTAGTTAAGTCATATAAAGTTTAGTGCCTGACACAAGCTTAGTCTAATCAAGTGTTAGCTTCTTAGTTAAGCCTATTATTAATTTTTCCTAATAGTGTAACCTAATAGTAATGAAGCGTCCTAATAACTTTTATCAAACCATCTGGCTTTTAAATTTGTTTATTGATGTGTCTATTTTCTTTATATTAGTGCCACAGTTTACATTTTTAGATAAAGAGATACTAAAAGTTTATATTATGGTAACTTCCCACTCCTTTTTAGTATCTCTTTAGAGGTATTCTCTTTATGCTTAGTGTTCTGAAATTTTATGGCAATGCATTTAGGAATAGGTATTTTTAAATTTGTGGACTGGGCATTTAGTAGATCCTTTCAATCTGAAGATTTGTGAATGAGAGGCTTTAAATATTTTATTATTTCTTCGACAATTTTGTCTTCTTCATTATCTCTGTCCTTTCTTGAAATTTCATTTGTTTAATTTGAAGGTGTGCCCTCATGTGCCCTGCCTTTATCTTCAAACCCCTTGGCTATGTGCATCCTTTCATTTATCATTTTCTTGGGTAGGAATCCTTTTGTCATGTTTTAAAAGATCTGATTAAATAATTAAAGAGGATGAGGAGTTTATAGGTCATGGCTCCTGGATCACAGAACCAAAAGCTGTGAAGAACACAGATATTTTAGGGGAAGTCCAGAACACTTTGAGTAGTTAAGAACCCAGGGTGTAAAGACTCCCAGCAACTTCAAGGATGACCTCTGGCCTTTTCTTGAAAATGGCAGATGCCAGGCAGGTGAGAAATTCATTTGATGTCACACATGCAGTCTGGGTTCTTGAAGGGCTAATACACTTTTGCATGATTTCTTCGCCACCATTGGAGTTTAAGGCCTCCCATCCCAAGTGACCTTGCCTCCCAAAGGATGTTAAGTGCACCAGCATAAAAATACCATTTTCTTGGAAGGAACTGATTTTTAATGACTGGAGGCTGATGTAGAAAACATTTTAAAGGCAGGTCCAGGATGATGGGATTCAGTCTGTGTGTGCACATTTGGACACCTCTCTACTCCCTACGACTTAGGTCCATGTTTAGGTCAGGTGCTGATAAAAAGCATTATTTGGAGTCAGAATGACCTGGGTTAGATCCTGGTTCTACCACTGACTTGCAGTGATACCTTGGTCAAGTGCTCTAACCTCTCTGAGCCTCCAGTTTCCTCATTCAGGTAATAAGGGCAATGATACTCATTTTCTCATTGTGTTTTTGAGAAGTTTAAATGAAATAATGCCTATATCTATTATTACTGTTGCTGTTATTATCATCATGATTATTATTGTAATATAAATAATGGTAGTTATTATTACTATGTCTTCTTTCTCAGATGTCTTTCCTTCTGGGAGGTCACTGTGAGGGTTATTTGGAACTTCCGTGTTTGTCCTGTAGCTTCTTATGCAACCCAAGGTCTCAGAATGGCATGCACTGGAACTGCTGGCCAATTAAAATTTATTCTAGGCTGAGTTCTTTTCCATGGGGGCTCCTTTACAGAACTCTTTTGGCTTAGTGGCTGTAGTGGGTTGAATAGTGGCCTGCAAAAAGATATGTCCATGTCCTAACCCCCAGAACCTGTGAATGTGACCTTATTTGGAAAAAGTGTCTTTGCAGACATAAATTAAAGATCTCCAGATGATATTATCTTGGAGTACCTTGTGCCCTAATTTCAATGACAAGTGCCCTTAGAAGAGTGAGGCAGAGGTTGATTAGACAGACAGACACACAAACACACAGAGAAACAGAGAGAAGGGCATTAAGATGGAAACAGAGATTGGAGTGATGCAGCCACAAGCCAAGGAACACCTGGAGCTACCAGGTGGCAGGTGGAAACTGGAAAAGGCAAGGAAGGAAGGATTCTCCCCTATAGCTTTCAGAGGGGGTGTGACCCTGCTGAAACCTTGATTTTGGACTTCTTGCCTCCAGAACTGAGAGAATAAGTTTCTGTTGTCGTAAGCCACCTAGTTCATGGTAACATTACAATAGCCCTAGGAAATTAATAGAGTGGCCTGACCAGGAGCATCATTGCAAGTGCAATCTGGGGTCAAGAGTCCTAGATTAAAGGCCAGGAGACCTGGGTTCTCGGCCTTGCTCTGTCATTAACTTGTGGGTGATCTCAGATAACTCAATTTTCCCTTGAAAACCTTAGTGTCCCTATCTATGAGATGAAAAACTGGCTCTTCATGGGTGGTAAGCTCTTCCAAGCCAGGCAATTCATGCAAATGAGTGAAGTGAGCCTAGGGTGGTAGCATACCAAGGAGAAATGGTACCTGGGGAAAATGGGGGGCCCTGGTCCCCCTAAAGCACACAGCCATCACTCAGCTCCTGAAAATTATTGCCAGACAGGAATTCCAGCCCAATGTCGCCAGAGTTTAATTTTCAAGAGAAGAGAGAAATTGAGATTTTTATGTAAAATCAAATTTTTGAATATCCGCCATGGATTCAAATTTATTACAGCATGACATGGGCCAAGCAAAGCAATCCTGCAGGCCAAAAGTGACCTCTAATCTAGTTCATCTTTGAGGTCTCTCTCTAGCTCCCAGTGCTGTGATTTTCTGGCTTATGGGAATACCCACAGGTTCCAGAGACTTGTCCTTGGCAAACCTGGGATGGTAGCCTGGAGAGGAGAGCAGGGGCATGGCAGGAGGAACTTGCTCACCCACTGAAGCTGAGCGGGTCCTGCTGGCAGAAGGAAACCAAAGCATCTTGGTCCACAAATGCCTAATTTAGTTCGTTTTTCCCTTACTTGTGAGACACTGGGGTTCAGGTAGCAGGCTTGATTTTTATGTGCAAAGTGTAAGCTCACTAGTCAGCCTGGGCTCCATGGTGCCTCATAAATCATAGGCTGTTTTTATTATTAATAATAAAATCCAGCTGATGCCAGGAGAGCTAAGGAAATGCAGCGTGGGAGAAGCAAGACTTGAAAGTAGACTTGTCTTGCACCCATGAACAAATGATTTGAGAAATTAGAAATTTTCCCATTGCAATGCAGGCTTACGCTTGTTTTCACCCAGCGTGTGTTTGTGGAACACCTACTATGTGTGGGTGCTGAGAATACAATGGTGCCTAAGGCAGATGTCTTCTTGTCGTCATGGAGTTGAATCTATTGGGAAGGGAGGGTGGATAATTAGGTAAGCAATTCCTCAAACATGAAAAAGACACTCATAGAATGGAGTTTATGAGAAATCCATGGGAGGGCGCAAAAAGTCATTCCCGATGGGACTGACATTTAAGCTCTCACAAGAATGGCGTATGAAAAGCCAGTCATGAAGATAGCCAAGCAAAGAACAGGAGAGCAAGAGCCAGAGCCCAGCCGAGGGTGACAGGTCCAGAACAGTGGCTCCTGTATTAAAGAATCAGTGATGTGATTAACTTCTCTGAGTGTCAATATTCCCATCTGAAAAATGAGAGGCCTGGACTGGACAGTCTCTGGGGCACTTCGAGCTCTGCGAGCTCACGAATCTTGGGTGACAAACTGAAGTTGAGATGGATTGGGATATTCCCAGCACCCGTTTGGCCTTTGTCAGTCTGAATAATAATTTTAAAAGCAGCTCTGGGAAGCTGTTGAGGGTGGAACAAGACATTTCCAGCTGCCAGTTTCATCTCCATTAAGGGTGGCACTGACACAGGCACACCTATAGATGCCTTAAGATTTGGCACCAGACTAGAAGACTTCCTCTTTCTAGTAGTGACAGTTGTGAGATGGTTACAGTCTATTTACCATGTGCCAGCCACATGCATTCTTCACATGCCCAACAAATATTTTTCAAGCATCTACTCAGTCCCGAGCACTGTGCTAGGTTTGAGGAATACAGCGGTGCATGAGACATGCAGATTGCAGGTGGACAGAGCTCAGAGAAGTGACCGTGGGCCAGAAAATATTGGCAGGGATGAGATGCCGAAACTAAATAGTAGCTGTGGGGTAAGGGGGAAGAGAGAAGAGAAGAGGAGAGGAGAAAGGAGAGAGAAAGGAGAGAGGAGAAGAAAAGAGAGGAGAGGAGAGACAAGAGAGAAAGAGAGGAGAGGAGAGAAGAAAGGAGAGAGAAAGAAGAGAAGAGAAGACAGGAGAGACAAAAGAAGAGAGAAGAGAGGAGAGGAGAAAGAGAAGAGGAAGAAGAGAAGAGGCAGAGGAGGGGGAGGAGAGGGGAGGAGAACTCAATCAAGGATGGTACTGGAGGCCAGGTATGGTGGCTCATGCTTGTAATCCCAGCACTTTGGGAAACCAAGGCAGGAGGATCCCTTGAGCCCAGTAGTTCAAGACCAGCTTGGGTAACATAGTGAGAACCCATCTCTACAAAACATAAAACAGTTAGCAGAGCACAGTTGTACGTGCCTATAGTTCCAGCTACTCGGGAGGCTGAGGTGGGAGGATTGCTTGAGCCCAGGAGGTTGAGGCTGCAGTGAGCTGTGATTGCACCACAGCACTACAGCCTGGCTGACAGAGCAAAGCAAGACTCTGCCAAAAAAAAAAAAAAAAAAAAGCAAAAAAGAAAAGGATGGCACTGTTGTGCACTCATGGATGACCTCCTTGAAGAGTTGACATCTGAGCAGAGATCTGAAGTTGCCAAAGCATTCAATCCAGTGAGCTCAGGGGAAGAGCAGTCCAGGCACAGGGAATAGCACATACAAAGGCTCTGACATGGGAACAAACTTGTCATGTTCGACAAAGGCAGTGGGGTTGGGGATGGGGGTTGAAGCTTAGTGAACGAAGGAAAGAAGTTAGGTTGGAGAGGGGTCAGGGCCAGAAAATGAAGGGCCTTTTTGTTTCACGTACAGAGAAAGCCTCCTGAAGGATGTTAAACAGGGGAATGATGTGACCTGATTTCTGTTTTGCAAACTAGTCCTGACTGCTGTGTGGAGAATAGACTGTGGAAAGGCAAGAATGGAAGCAGAAAGACTATGTGGGCGCCGAGTGAAATTGTCCCGGCAGTGGGTGATAGTGGCTTGGGAGCAGTGAAGGTGGGGCCGGTGGTCATTTTTGGGACATATTTTGGAGATGAAGCTGACACAGTTTGCTGATGGACTGGCTACAGGTAACCAGGGAAACTGGAGGAATCAAAAGAAGGAAATTTTTTAAATGCCCCTATGTTTTTGGCTTACTTGATCCAACAGATTTTTATACTTCATATTTAATCCTCACAACAGCCCATTTTATGGCTGAGGAAACTGAGGCATCTCTAAGGGACAGAACAAGCAAATGCAGGTCGGCTTGCCACTAGAAGCCGCAAAAGAGCCTTTCTGCTTGAGTTCCTTTTTCTCATTTGCATCGCTCCATTCTTTCCTTGGGGACTGGCTTGCCACCCAGGATCCAGCCCTTTTCCCCTTGCTTTGGGTGAGAGACCTGGTTGGCGTAGCTCAGTCGGGTAACCCCTGAAATGTCAGATCCCATCGACTCTCCCCAGGCAGAGATCAGCGGGGCAGAAAGTGCCTCTGGAACCAGCTCTGGGAAGTGTGTCTCACCAACCCTTTGAATGCTGCCTGGGATCTCTGTGCCCCCCTGCTCCTCCGATGGCTTCTAGCTTTCCACTTGTGACAGCTTCGGTGATCTCCTGTGACAGGGGGAATATGCAGCCACAGGGATGCAGCTCCGTGCCCGGGAAATGTCACCTCCAATTGATGTCACAGAGGAGAGAGAAGCAATTAAGGCGCCAGCCCATTCTTGAAGCTCTAGCTCCAGGCAAACCGTAGTGGGTGGAGAGGGAGATGGAGGAGGAAGGAACAAGGAAGGGATGGCAGCAGGGAAAGGGTTGAAAGCAGGGCAAGTTAGAGAAAGGTGTACATCTTCTATCACAGGGTAGGTGCACAGTAAGTATTTGTTGAATGAATAAGTGAAGATTGTAGTGGATGCTGTAGTGTGCCACCCAATGCCACCCCCCCACCCACCTTCAGAACCACAGGACTCATTCTCTGAACTCCAGAGAGTATTTGATGTTTATGGCTCACAGCTAAGTCCCTCTGCAGGAACTGCCCTTGAGTGAAGGAAGTGGCTTGCTCAGTCTCTGGGGGAAAGCTACATGCAGTGACTATTCAAAGCAGCTCTGATGGGCCATCCCAGCTCTTAAGCTCCATATAGGATTGACTGAGACCTTTAGTACAATTGCATCACAGCCCAAGTTCTCCCTGGGCCCAATCCTGTTTCCCTCACTGACTTCCTTGTGTGACTCCTGTGAACGCTTCCCAATGAAGCCCCGTATGCAAATCTCTCTCCAAGAGAACCAGACGTAAGGCAAACACCTCACATGAACAAAAGTATTAGTGTATGACTAGTCATAATGTTCACTTTCCCCTTTCCGAATCAATTGCTAAATTAAACCCTGGACTCTCCAGGGCTGTGGAGAATCTGGATAATGGGTGAAATGAAGAAACAAAGAAGTCATAAAGGATTTGTAATCTACATAACAGAAATCCTCAAGATTAGCTAAGAGGAAAAACAACAGAAAGCCTGTGAAGGCAGAGTTTCAGAGACTGGTATTTAAAAAGGGGAGAGAGAAGGTTTCCCTCGGTGAGGTTGACATCTGAATGGAGGGTATTGAGAGAGAAAAAAAATGGGGACAGAATTCGAAAGATGTTTATTGTACATTCTCAACATACCATCTCCTCCTTGCTTGAGGTTTTCTTGAGAGAGCAAGTAGAGATTCGGATACTTTTACTTTGTTTTCTGACTTTAGAAACTGGGCCACATGGGATTATGGGTTTATTTGGGTTACAAATATGGCTGAGTGAAAAGGGTAAAGACAGTGAAAGAAGAAAGGATAAACACAAATTAGCAGGAAGAATAAAAGAGAGAGAGAGAGAGAGGGAGAGAGAGAGATGGATGACACCCCTATGGTTGGAGAAGAGTCATATAGAAGCAAAGAGAAAGATAATGAAATCAGAGTGAGAAAAGGCTACTCCTCACAGTATTAGACATGTTGGACAGATTTCTGACACACCCAATACCCTTCTATCACTAAAACTACCCTGTCTTTAGCTCCCTGTGAGGTGAGCAGACACAGGCTGGTCTTTGCACAGGGGTTGTCACTAATTGATTAAAGGTGGAATATTAATTAGGATAAGGCCTAGCAAGTACAACAAAGGGCAAAATAATAGCGACCTAAGGAAACTGAGAAGCTGATTTCTATTTTTTGTAACAGATCAAGCATAAGCAGCCCATTTGGCACGTCTATCACACAGTGACAGGTTCCAGTCCCTAGCTCCTTCTGTCTCATTTGTCTATATTAGCACCTGGCGTCCATCTTGTGATCTAAGATGGCTCCTCTAGTTCCAGCCATTGACTCTGCGTTCTATGCAATGGAATGGGAGAAAGAAGGTGTAGAAGGCAGGTTCTTCCCTTTAGGGTATGACCAATCACTTAACTTCCCATTGGTCAGAACCTAGTTACAATGTCCATGACTTAGATTCAAAGGAAAGGAAGGTGAAAAAATAAACGTTTTTATTTTTATTTTTTTATGTTTACTTTTATTTTTTATTTTTATTTTTTTTTTGTGGGTGGCCATGTGCCCAGCTAAAATGTGTGGGTTATATTACTAAAGGAAGAGGGAGGGATGGTTTCTGAGAGGTAGCTTGCAGTCTCTGATCAATGGTGATCTAAACATAGGCTGGCTGAGGGCTGATGGAGTGACCTACAGCAAAAATGGCCTATTGAAGGCTAAACTTAGATGGGGACTGTGGAGAGCATTTGGGAGTCAAAAGGGATGGGGGAGAGAGGAGAATGGAGTAGGCAGGTTCTGAGGGAGGAAGAGGCAGAGGGAGTGGCCAGTTCTTGAGCCGTGAAATCTCTTTCAGTTCTCACTTCTGACCATAAGGATGCTTAAATATCAGTTAGGATGCTTTTGGCTGGGAGTAACAAAGAACTCCCACTCAAACTAAGGCAATAACTAAAGTTGTATAGTCATGTCATAGGAGTCCAGAGGTAGAGGGGACTCCAGGCATGGATTGGTGAGCAACTCAATGATGTCTATTGAACTCAGTGATTTATTTACTCCATCATCTTTATCTGTAGCTTCATCCTCAGGCTGGCTGGTTCTCCACATGGTCACAACATGACAACCAACAGCCACAGCACAGTGGGCTTCCTTGGTCACACCTGGTAGTAGAGGTTGAGAGAGAAGTAACTGTTCTATACTCACATGCAAAAAAAGTTCTTCACACCAGTTAGATTGATCCAGCTTAGATAATGTGCTACTCCTGAACTAATAAAAGATGCTTATTGATTTAGACCAAGCCACTTCCACCTTTGGAGATGAGGATGGAGTGGATACCTGGATAAAACCAGGGCTCTGTTAGGTTTCTATTGGTAAACCTGAAGTTTCCATTCACCTGAAAATAAACCCTCTTTTCTCTACGGCAGCCTGAGAGTTCTTCATCCTGGTGAACCAGAGTGACGCATTCATGTACCAATAAAGCACTCAAAGGCTAGCTACTCCAAAAGTGCTGAAGGAGGAAGGGAAAAGAGTATAAAATGAAAGATGTGGCCATACATGTGAGTGAGTTCCAAGGTACTGAAGAAAGAAGCCATTGCCAGTGGGCTCCAAGGTCATTAGGGACAATTTATGTGAAGAAGAGAAGATACGGCTCCAAGTCATGGGAGGCCACTTCAGAGGAAATCCAGGGTCATCCAGGAACACGTTAAGCAACTTTCAGGTTAGACATCAAGAAGGGGAGTAGAGAGCTCCTATTCAGCATGGCCAGGGGGCTCATGGCCAGGGCAACAACTTGCCAAAATGGAAATGAACATCCTCTCTGATCTCCATTTGGTGGCTACATCTGGGATGGTAAATAGGCATTATTCCAAGGGCCACCCTGATTGGTAGTAGCCCTTGAAGCATATCTTGAGAAGGACTTAGAGTCCTGACTAGTGGACATTGCTGAGCTACTTGGTCTTATTCTAAAGCTCTCTTTCTTGGCTTTGTCCTCTGCCTTTGAAGAGCTATTCCTTAGAAGTTGGATATCGCGTCTATTTGATTCTTCTCTCTTTTCTTCTTTATTAGTCTTGCTAGCGGTCTATCAATTTTGTTGATCTTTTCAAAAAACTAGCTCCTGGATTCATTAATTTTTTGAAGGGTTTTTTGTGTCTCTCTATTTCCTTCAGTTCTGCTCTGATCTTAGTTATTTCTTGCCCTCTGCTAGCTTTTGAATGTGTTTGCTCTTGCTTTTCTAGTTCTTTTAATTGTGATGTTAGGGTGTCAGTTTTAGATCTTTCCTGCTTTCTCTTGTGGGCATTTAGTGCTATAAATTTCCCTCTACACACTGCTTTGAATGTGTCCCAGAGATTCTGGTATGTTGTGTCTTTGTTCTCGTTGATTTCAAAGAACATCTTTATTTCTGCCTTCATTTCATTATTTACCCAGTAGTCATTCAGGAGCCGGTTGTTCAGTTTCCATGTAGTTGAGCGGTTGAGTGAGTTTCTTAATCCTGAGTTCTAGTTTGATTGCACTGTGGCCTGAGAGACAGTTTGTTATAATTTCTGTTCTTTTACATTTGCTGAGGAGTGCTTTACTTCCAACTATGTGGTCAATTTTGGAGTAGGTGTGGTGTGGTGCTGAAAAGAATGTATATTCTGTTGATTTGGTATGGAGAGTTCTGTAGATGTCTATTAGGTCTGCTTGGTGCAGAGCTGAGTTCAATTCCTGGGTATCCTTCTTAACTTTCTGTCTCGTTGATCTGTCTAATGTTGACAGTGGGGTGTTAAAGTCTCCCATTATTATTGTGTGGCAGTCTAAGTCTCTTTGTAGGTCACTAAGGACTTGCTTTATGAATCCGGATGCTCCTGTATTGGGTGCATATATATTTAGGATAGTTAGCTCTTCTTGTTGAATTGATCCCTTTACCATTATGTAATGGCCTTCTTTGTCTCTTTTGATCTTTGTTGGTTTAAAGTCTGTTTTATCAGAGACTAGGATTGCAACCCCTGCCTTTTTTTGACATGGACACAGGAAGGGGAACATCAGACACCGGGGACTGTTGTGGGGTGGGGGGAGGGGGAAGGGATAGCATTTGGAGATATACCTAATGCTAAATGATGAGTTAATGGGTGCAGCACACCAACATGGCACATGTATACATATGTAACAAACCTGCACGTTGTGCACATGTACCCTAAAACTGAAAGTATAATAATTAAAAAAAAAAAAGAAGTTGGATATCGCTTCCGTTTCGCATGAGCCTTTCTGGAGATGGTCTGAGTATGTTTCTTGTCCTGTTCTTATAAGAAACAGCATGTCAGAAGGACAGGGAAGAGTCTCTGGAGTTGGAGTGGACCGACCTGGCTTTGAACCCCAGGCTTTGAACTAGTTGAGTGAATTGAAGATGTGATTTCTCTTCTCTGAGCCTCAGTTTATCTATGTGTGAAAAGAAGAGAAGAATGCCTACTGAAAGGGATGATCCAAGGATCAGACTTAATGGATGTAACAGATCTAGGATGGTGCTCACTCTGAATTTTTGAAAAATTCTTGAACAGTTGCTCTGGCTCTGGTTCCTCCAGTTCCCAAGATCACAGACCACGTTTTGTTCTTACAATTTCCTTCATTATGTCCTCTTATTCATGGGTAACTGTAATGTCCAGCTGTGCTGGAGACTAACATGATCCTCATTTGGATATTCAGATGCAAGTACAAAAGCTCAGGTCCCCTTCTTGACATTCATGAGTTTAAGTGTGCTCTTCACTTGGGATTTTTACAGCTAAGTACTTCGGACTTTACACCATTTTCTTTTAAAATGGTGCATGTCTGGACATGATGAATGAATTCATGGCACTTCAAGGGCAGATCTAGGCATTGACATCTATGAATTTATAATTTCTTTTTGATCAAGCCAGAGCTGGCAAGGAGTAAAGAAACCAGAGAGAGCAAGAGGGTCATTTGAAATTACTATCCTTTTCAGGTTTTATACTCCCATCTGGATTCCCCTGCTGAGAAGCAGGCTGGACACTCAGGAAACCCATGCCAGACAGCTAGCTAAGTCCTAGAAGTCAGCTCCTGATGGTATTTGGCAACCTTGGGCCTCTCTGGGCCAAGGGTTTAGTGCCAAGAGTAATTGTGATTTACACCCCTAACCTCTTTGGGTGCAAAATGGTTTTGATTAGATGCATACCATATTTATTAAGCCTTGCACAAGGCAGTCTGGGGGCTTGGCTGTTCTGCCATAAAAGAGAGGGAGATTTACACGGCTCCCTGCAGGATTCATTTAATCTCTTGGGGATTTACTGACCTTCAATTAGAACTGTTAAGTACTGTTTACATGGTCCCTAATTCATACAAGACCAATATAAGGTTGAATTTTGCTTTCATTAAGGACCTATGAATCAAGAAAATAAAAAATAATAAAAAGTCTTTGCCAAGCAAGATGTGATTTGGGTTAAGGAGAAAGAAAAGGAATATCAAAAACAAAAAGCCATTAAAAGTTGAAAGCTTTACTTTGTCATCATTTAGGAGTGGACTGATAGTAAAGAGTTGACACATGTTTAGGATGGATTTGAAATTTTAAAAATCACCTGATTTGAGATTTTTTTGGGGTGAGGATTAGCTTTATAGTTTTAAAACTCTTTCTTACAGTGACCTGGGAAACGACAGTCCCTTGAATTCTTTTCTGTTGTTGAAAATTGGGATTCCTTTGTATTCCCTAGAAGGAAGAGTACCATGTATCTCTTATCAGAGTCAATTGTGCAGACAGAAAATTGCCTTTAGCTGCGCCTTCAAACTGAGATATGTGAACTCCCAGTGGGTGTATATAGAATACCAGGAATACATAAAACCATGAAGCATCATTTATGTGTATTATTCAAGGATTTGGGGAAAAGCATACCTCTTTAAAAGCATTGAAGAAAATACAACTTAGGTCAGAAGTCATTGAAAATGCTTATAGTAGACAGGCAAGTGGAGAATAAGTATGCTGGGCTGGATTGGGGACTGCACTAAAGTGAGGAAGTCATGTTCCATCTTAAGAGGCACTCACTGCTGCACCACAGGCTCAGTAAATATTGTTGGATGAACTATTAAAAAGTGGTCACCTCTACTCCTGGCTCTGGAACTTGTTCCTGAAGGACAATGCTATGCAAATTGCTCAGAGCCACAGACTCATACTAGCAGAAGTCAGTTTAAACCCTTTGATACATTATGGGCATCACTTTCAGTGTCTGCCTTGGACACAGAATGCATAAGCTATGACAGCCTAGAGTTGTGTAAAACATATTCAACCACAGGATAGCATGATAATCACAATAGTTGCAGCCTGCAGCCAACAATGATTAGCAACCTGATTAGTGATTAGTGATTGCCTACCAGATGTGTTAAATGCCTTGTTTACATCACGTCACTGAATGTCCCCAACTGTCCTGTATGGTAGTTATTATTGTCATTGTTTGACAGATGAGGAAACTGAGGTTTAGCAAGGTGAAGTCACTTGCTCAGGTCACATAGTTTGGAAGCAGAAAGCCATGCCTCGCCCTCGATTCCACAGCCCAGAGCCTGTGTTCCTGGCCAACATGAAACATCATGAAAAGGCTGAGGTGAAAGTCTAGCGCTTCCTTTTATTAGGCAGCTTGGTTCCAACTTAGAGCAGAAGCTGGGAGTCAATTTTCATACTTTCACATAAGCTTCTACCCATTGGTGTCCCCTCCTGTGGAATGAATTATTCCCTGAAAGATGAGTTTGTGCACCCTTGATGAAGAGGGAGCCCAGTGAATCCTAACACCATTGTCAAAATCCTGATACCCAGTGGTGAGACCAACATGGGTGTTCTCAAGGACCAGAAAAATTTCAACATGGGTTGAAATTATGAGATGGAACAATACTCAGTTTGGTGACCTGGTAATGGGCTTAGCAATTTTTTTTTCTTTTTTAAATTGTGGTTTAAAAAAACCCTACATTATCTATGCTCTTAACAAATTTTGAAGTGTACAGTATAGTATGGTTAAAGGATGTACATTGTTGTGAAGCAGATCTCTAGAACTTTTTAAATTTGCATAACCAGAACTCTACCTTTTGAACAATAACTCCTCATTTCTCCCTCATCTCAGCCCCTAGCATTCCCCATTTGACTTTCTGCTTCTATGAGGTGGACTATTTTATATACTGCCTATAAGTGAAATAATGAAACATTTGTCCTTCTGTGCCTGGCTTATTTCACTCAGCATAATGTCCTCAAGCTTCATCCATGTTGTAGCATATGGCAGGATTTCTTTCTTTTTAAAGGTTGAATGATATTTCATTGTATGTATATACCACACTTTATCAAATTATTCATTAATGTTTCCACCTCTGTGCTACTGTGAGTAATAATGCAGTGAACATGGGTGTGAAAATATTTCTTTGAGATCCTGTTTTCAATCCTTTTGGATAAATATTTAGAAGTGGGATTGCTGGGTTGTATGGTAGTTCCATTTTTAATTTTTTGAGGAAACTTGATATTATTTTCCATAATGACTACACCATTTTACATTCCCACCAACAGTGCACAAGTGTTCCAACTTCTCCATGTTTTTGTTTTTAAAATTATTATTTTTGATAATGACCATCTTAACAGGTATGAAGTGATGTCCCATTGTGGTTTTAATTTGCACTTCTTAGATGATTAGAGTTGCTGAACATATTTACATATACCTGTTGGTCATTTATGTCTCTTCTTTGGCAAAATTTGTATTCAGGTCCCTTGCCTTTTTTTTTTTTTTTTTTTTTTTGAGGCAGAGTCTCTCTCTGTCGCCCAGGCTGGAGTGCAGTGGTGTGATCTCAGTTCAATGCAACCTCCACTTCCTGGGTTCAAGCGATTCTTCTGCCTTAGCTTCCCCGGTAGCTGGGATTACAGGCACGCACCACTACTCTTGGCTAATTTTTGTAATTTTGGTAGAGACAGGATTTCACCATGTTGCCCAGGCTGGTCTCAAACTCTTGGCCTCAAGCTATCCACCCACCTCAGCCTCCCAAAATGCTGGGATTACAGGCATGAGCCACCGCACCTGGTTCCTTGCTCATTTTTTAAATTGGGTTATTCAATGCTTGTTTGTTTTTTTGCTGTCAAGTTGTAGGAGTTCCTTATATATTTTGAATATTAACCCCTTATCAGATATATGGCTTGCAAATATTTTCTCCCATTCCATAGGTTAACTTTTCACTCTGTTGATTGTCTCCTTTGCTATAGAGAAGCTTTTAGTTTGATGTAGTCCCCCTTGTCTATTTTTGGATTTGTTGCCTGTGCTTTTGATGCCATAATTAAGAAATCATTGCCAGTTAACTTAGCTCTTGACTGGATACATTCCAGAGTCTTTGATAGGGAAACTTCCGTACCTCTACCATTAGTGGCTTAAGGTCTCTGTCTCAAGTTGAGTTTTTCTAGAAGCATCTAGAATTTGAGGACCAATAGTTTAGTTGGGAAGTGATTCTAGGAATCACTGGTAGGGCAGTAAGGAAGTGAAAATAATGTATTAACAAGCAAGTTACAACTCGGAGCAACTGGGGCTCTATCCCACTGATTCTGGGTTGGCAGATAAAACACAAGGCTCCAGTTAAATTTAAATGTATATAAACAAGCAATTTTTTTTTTTTTTGAGATGGAGTTTCGCTCTTTCACATAGGCTGGAGTACAGTGGCACGATCTCAGCCCACTGCTACCTCCGCCTTCTGGGTTCAAGCAATTCTCCTGCCTCAGCCTCCCAGGTAGCTGGAATTACAGGTGCCCACCACCATGCCTGGCTAATTTTTGTATTTTTAGTAGAGACGGGATTTCACCATGTTGGCTAGGCTGGTCTCGAACTCCTGACCTTGAGACCCGCCTGCCTTGGTCTCCCAAAGTGCTGGGATTACAGGCGTGAACCACTGTGCCCTGCCTAAACAAGTAATTTTTTAGTGTGTGTCCCACATATTGCATAGGGCATACCTATCCTAAAACTTGATCATTGTTTATCTGAAATTTAATTTTAACTGGCTTACTGTATTTTTATTTGCTTAATCTGGTAATCGTACTCTAGGGACTTCTGGGAGATTGTATAGAACATCCTTCAGTGTTGTCTCATCTCTGAGTTGAGAGGCAGGAGACCTGAGCATTTATCATCTACCTTATATTCATCATTGGTTGAGGGCTACCCTTGGGCTAATTAGCTCATGAAATCATTCTGAACAGATGAAGGAGATGAAGAATAAAGGCTTCCCAACCCCAGTAACCAGAGATTCTCTTCATCTGCCCCTGTCTCATGACAATGTGGAACATGGCAACAGAAAATGAAGTTTCTCCCTGCTTCCTCCCTCTCTCCCATCCTGTTGTCCACATAGTAATGTGTATTGAGTGTTGTTTCGGTTCTGGATGCTATACTTGGTCATTTTATCTATATCAGAGGTGTCAGCCTATTTTAGCCTGTTTTTAAAGCCCTGTTTTCAATTCTCAGGAGAAGGCACGGTTTTGCTTGAGTAGTCTTCCAACATTCTATACTGGCAACAAATTCTTCATGTTATTTAATGTTTTATAATTTACAAATCTTTATTTAAGTGCAAATGAATGATCCTTTTATCTGTATGGTATAGCAATTTTGGGCGTGAACTTTGAACTCAGACAGAAATGGGTGTAAATTCTGCCCCCAGGGCTTGCTAGTTGTGAGATTTAGAAAGTGGGCAGATCATTTAACCTTTCTGAGCTTATGTCCCTTGCCTGTGGAGTGGTGATGAGTATGGTGCTTATTGTATAGGGTTGTATGAGAGCCTGTAGAAGCTAAGTCATGCTATAGTAATGACCTATCCCTAAATCTCAATGGCTTAGAGCAACACAGGGTTATTTCTTCCTCATGCTACGTGTTCTTTGCACATTAGCAGGGGCCTCCTCTCTGTTATTCTCACTGTAGGACTAAGAGCAATATTCACATAGACAGAAGATGGTTCAAAATAAATTAGATTAAGGAGTTGGAGCAACACCCACTTTTTTTTTTTTTTTTTTTTAACCTGATGGAGAGTTTAGTTCATCTCTAGATAATTCCAGATGGGATTTTCAAGGTCTGTCTTCAGTGGTGAAGATGACTACCTTAGGGACAAGCAACTGGATTTTGAGTACAAGAAGCTTTGGGGGAAGTGATTCCACCAGGAAGTACTGATACAGAAGTAAGAAAATGAGAAGAGAAGGGAAAGGTGCCAGTACAGGGTATGTTAGTGGGCAAATATGACTCTCTAGGCAGCAAGGGCTCAATGATGACCAAGACCCCACTAACTGGCATGGCACTTGCCATGGTGGCAAGGAGAAGATTATGAGCGTCAGGGTCATACATAGGCAATTAAATGTTCCAGCAAGGCAGTGACAGGCATAATTTTAACCCACACTATATTGGCCAGAATTAATCACATGGCTCAACCCAAATGCAAAGAGTATTGGATTGTGCAGTTGCCCTAAGGGCTGAAGGAGAACCAGACATATGGTTGGGCAGTGCTTATGTCTATCAAAGATTGTTTCTGGGATTCAATGAGATAGCATTGCAGGGATTCAATGAGATAGTACAGAACCTGGCATATAGCAGATGCACAATAAATTATAGCTGCTCTCTTAATTATGACGATGTTTGCCCCATTAGAATCTGAACGTTTTAAGAAAAACCTTCTCTTCTAATAATGCTAATGTTTACTACTCAATACTTTCAACATGCTGGAGACTCTGTCAAACAGCATCCTCACAACAACCCCATGAGGTAATGATTATTTTCCATCCTATTCTTCAGTTGGGGAAACCAAGTCTTAGTGAGGTTAAGTATGCTTCTCAGGCTCACAGCAAGTAAGTGGTAGAGCAGCCATCAAAACCCAAAGCCCATGCATCTGGCATCACACTCTAGCGTCTCCTGTCTGTACTGCCAGCACTTAGCATTGGGCCTTAAACAGAGGAAAGGCTCTGAATATTTGCAGAACTGACTGAAATAACTTTTTTTTTCTGACTTTGTAAGTGCCTCAAAGACCTTCCAGCTACTCTTTCCTCTAACATGCCTTCTCCTTAAAAATGGCAAGGTGCCCAGTCTTTCCGGACTGTTGGCCAAGACAATCTTCCTTTTGCCATTTAATTACTGTATGTAGTTCCAAGATCTGGCATTCCTCATCACCCAAATTCCCTTTGGATCTTCTTCTTTTCCTGGTCAAATATAGAGATATCTCTCCTGTCCTCATTACAATTCCAGGGCATATTTATAGGTACTATAATTCTTCCTCATGTAAAAATAAAAAGTGGGCAATAAGTTCCGGAAATGTCCTAGACTATTAGAACAACCTCCTTAAAGTTTTAAGTGCTTGCTAATATCTAAAATTGCTACGCTCTTAGGGTTCTGATCATTTTCCTATCCTAGCCATCTTAAAAAGTATATTGGAATTTAATTTTGGGGGCCCTTTGGGAATTTAACTACTTCTCCTTCCCTTTATTCAGTTAAAGGCTGAAAATATCAGCTGGCTCTTATCTGATTCTTTCTCTGTTAACAGTATGTTGAGGAAAGCCCCCTCCCACTCTGCGGGGTTTTTTTAAACCTTTTTTTTTTTTTTTTTTTTTTGGTGTGTGGTGGGGTGGTCATGGTAGACAAATAAAAATAATTCTGAGGTTATCTGAGAGCTGACATTCCATACAATAGCAATAAGAACGTTTTCCAAATTTAAAACTCTGATGGAGGAAGTGGGTTACAATAGGAGCAACCTTTGACCCTGACCAGTCATAATGGTTTCCTGGATTCAGAGATATTATGGGTTGGAGCCAAGGGTTTCAGCAGAGAGAGCACAAGGTGTGTTAAACTTAGAACACAATGTGCGAGTTCCGGGTGGGGCCGTTGGAGGACATCTTTCTTTCTTTCCGGTGGAAACGATTCCTTTACAAACAAGGAACTGGGTCTTTCCCACTGTCCGATCCGTGTCCGTGTATTTGTTCTGCTGCTGATTTTAAAAGGAATTTTGCATGTTTTTGAGATCTCCAGACTCTGAAAGTCTTCCCTCTGGGGACCGTTTCTAAGGATGATTCATCCCCCAAATATTTATTGAGTGATTACTATGTTCCAGGTCCTGTTCTAGATGCTGAAATATAGCAAAATGTAGAAAATCAACCAAAAAGCCCTGTCCTTGGGAAGTTTCATTCTATAGCACAATTCCTCAACCTCAGCACTACTGACATTTTGGGCTGGAGAATTTTTTGTCGTGGGGGCTGTCCTGTGCATTGTGGGATGTGTAGCAGTGTCACTGGCCTCTACCTACTAGATTCCAGTAGAGCAAAAAATTACTCTTTTTGCCCCCAAGATATGTCTGCAGATGCCATTCTATAGGGAGCAAGAATAACTGTTCTAAAGGGAGAACAGTTCTATAGGGACAGAGACAAGACTGTAAACTGTGAACTATTTAATACTAAATAGGTAAATGATAGTCTGTTGATGGTCAATACATATATAGAGTAGGTGAAGGGGAGTTGAGTCTCACTGGTGCGATGGGGATGGGAGATTGTTGTAATTTAAATGGTGTGGTTGGGGAAGTCCTTATTGAGAAGGTGACATCTGACAAAGACTTGAAGGAGGCAACGAAGTAAGCCATTTGGTTATGGAGGAAGAAGATCCCAGAAGGAGACAACAGCCAGTGGAAATACCCTGGGTATGCACTGGGCTGTCAAAACAACCAAGGGAATCAGTATGGAGTGGGGGGAGCTGGAGACAGGGCCCAGAGGGGAGGCAGGAGATAAAGGAAGTGTTCAGACTCTGCAGCATGGAGGCTTTTGTGGCCGTCGTCAAGGCTTAGCTGTTCTCTGGGAGGAAAGGAAACCATTGTTTTATTTTGAACAGAAGTGTGATAGGATCTGCCTTAATGTTTTAACAGGACTACTCTGGTGGCTGCTGCCTTGAGAACAGAATTTATGGGGGCAAGGAGAAAAGCAGGGCCATCACAGGGCCATAACAAGTCAAACGTTGACATCAGGCAACAGAGGGGCCTGGCCAGATGGCTGTAGGCTTCCACACACATCCTTCTCCCCTTCCATAAAGACGCATATACAGGTCAGCTTGTAGCTTCCCCGGTATGGTAGACCATCAAGGGAAATTAAGTGTGAATTTGTCTTATTTTCCTTATTGCCTTTTGTTGTTAGACTCTGTCACAGGTAATGTCCTGATTTTCATTTTAGAAACAAAGTATTTGTAGGTGGAAGATCAGATTCCCAGGTAATTATAATAATTAATAATGCATGATAGAAATAATAAACTAACAAGCACTTATTATATGCCAGATGCTATGCTAAGCTCTTATTATTCATTATCTCATTTAATTCTGTCAACAACCTTATGAAGTAGGTACTCATCATTTCTTCCACAGTCTAGATGAGGAAGCTGAGGGTCAGAATGTTTAAATGATTTCTCCAAACTTTCAGAGCCTCAAGCCTCATTGATTGGTGTGGGAGAGGGATGAACAGCCAGCTGATGTGGAAGGTGGAAGTTTCATGATTGCCAGGGACACCAGCCTCATGTTTGAACCCCCTCCCACCTCTCTACTGAACTTGTCCTAGAGACAGCAGAGAGGGGTGACAGACATGAATGTAAAAACTCCTCTCCCTCAACTCTAAACCTTGTTAGCTGGAACCAGAGATGGTGAGGTGTAGGTGGAAGGCAGTTTAGAACTAATTCCCACCTTTAATGGATGGGGCTGGGGAGCATTGGAATTAATAGCTCAGGTTCTTGAATCCATAGACCCAGGTTCAATCCCAGCTCCACCATTATGGGCTCTGTGATCTAAATCAGTTACTTCACCTCTCTAAGCTTTTATTTCTTCTCCTCTAAGATTGGAATAATAATCATATAGATGCTATTTGGTGCCCTGCCTATAACCCTGTGCCCCCTCTAACCTCTCAAGCCAACTACAGCTTAGATTGACAGTTGCCAAAACACTGACATTTAGTCCTCTGTCTAAGGGCTGTCTGACTGCAGATATGTGCTCAGCCCAGGATGGTCAGAAGTATCAGAGAGTTGATGCCCCCAGAAGCAATGTCAACCAATGAGGAATGGGGTGTGGTAAATAAATACCCCTTATTTATCCACCCCATTTCCTCCCTGGGCCAACT
The DNA here is from genome assembly GCF_000001405.40 of Homo sapiens. NCBI lineage: Eukaryota > Metazoa > Chordata > Mammalia > Primates > Hominidae > Homo > Homo sapiens. Next base: position 115,658,294 of record NC_000012.12, on the reverse strand, counting down.
CTGAGGTGTGTTCTCACAGCCCTTCAGGGGCCCATGGCAAGACCAGGCCCCAGTTACCCACCATGGTAACTGCTCAGCAAGGCACCCTTTATATCTGCGCTCCTGCCTTTTATTCCCTCCAAGACTTCCTGGGGTTATCCCCAAATAAACCACTTACACACAAATCCTTATCTCAAGACCTGTTCTGGGGGAGGAAACCAGACCAGGACAAGTAGTGAGTAGTGATCACCTCCTTAAATTGCTGTGATGGTTAAGAGAAAGTACATGTACAGTTGTTAAGTACTTAGCATATTGGCAGAAATATATAGAATAAACACTGGAAGAAATGGTGATGATGATGATAGTAATGAGGAGGAGGGGGGAAGATGGAGGAGGAGGAAGAAGAAGAGAAGGAAGAAGAAGAAGGAGAAGAAGAGGAGGAGGAAGAGGAGGAGAAAAGGAAGAGGAGGAGGAAGAAGAAGGAGGACGAGGAAGAAGGAGGAGGAGGGGAGGAGGAAGAAGAAGGAGGATGAGGAGGAGGGGAAGAGGAGGAGAGGAGGAGAAGAGGAGGAAGAGGGTGATGAAGATGATGACTGTGATGAAACAAAGGCCCAGAATGAATGAAGTCGGTGGCTGATTGTGGGGTAACAGGGTGTGGGGGCCAGGCAGGCAGATCCACAATGGAACCATCTCCTCTCCACATTTTCTCCTGCCCCCTGAATTCATGGAGCTTCCTTTGGTGGCCAGTGCTCTCCAGGAGATACCCTCCCCTCTGCTCCCTTACCCCTCCTGAACAACTGGCAGTCAGTGAGTCAGCTGAGTGCTCACCAAACACCATTCTGTTATAAGACTTGGTGGGAGGGACCAGGAATTTTAAAATCCAGTCCTTGCCTGAGCTATTCCTCCTTCATGTGGAAAGCCAGATCTTCTATCCACGAATGTCCTTCCTCCTATTTTCCTCGTGGACTTTCACCTCGGGTTCTGCCACTGGACAAGTGGGCACAGAGCCTCGGGACAAGTCTGAATGTGTTGTCTCAAGACTGTTATTCAGCTTCATGTGTGAGGTGGTTGATTTCCTGTCTTGCTCATTCACTCCAGAACGCCCTGTTCTTAGATCAAAAGACCTGGAAGTTTCCAAGTCAACAAATGCCATTATATATTTTGAGTGCAGAAAACTTACTGAACTCAATTCTAATGCTCCCTTAGCCACTGATGAAGGGATTCAAGTTAACTTTTTGATTTGAGCAATGTTAACATTTGACTTATGAGCTCTAGAAGATCAGAGCTGAAAGAGACCTCAGTGGTAACCCCTTCCAACCCTCCCTTATTCTATAAGAGGGAAACAAAGGGACAGAGAGGTCACTTTACCAACATGCTACACTGGTAGAGAGTAATATATCCCAGAATAAAACCCGCTTCTCTGGCCTCTCAATTACTTTTCTCACTCTATTGTTACTCACTTCTTGTAGGCCAAGTCATCAAAAATGCACTAGGAGCATCTTTTGGTCAAGGACAAATCTTTTTGTGAACAGTTGCTTTCTTTTTCTCTGCTCTTTCATAAGTCTTGATTTTCATTTATCAGGTTTAAAAAAATCAGAACAACCCTATGCTTTGAAATAACGAAGCTGTAAAGAATTTCTATTTAACCTCAATGTCATGAAAGCATGAAAAGCTACATGTTGAAATGAATGGTAGGTTTTTCATTCTAAGTAAAATGTAATTCATCTAACTGATTTGATTGAATCTATTATACTTTCTGAAGCTTTATTTTTTTTCTGGGTAAAATGGCCAACCCACTGAGCTGTGACAGAAGGAAGAAAAGCCAGAATGAAGAGAAAAGCTAAAGGAAATTTATAGAAAAAAATTAGAGCCTACATATATGAAAACTCTCTACTTTAAAACACTAGAGAAAGCTCACAGAGAACCAAGAAAATTACATTTTTGGCACCCATCTGAACTTCAGAATTATTCATTTGTGTTTGTTTATTTATATCTTACTTTATTCCTCCAGAAAGGAGCTGAAGGAGCAATGTCCTCCTTCAGATAAGATTATTAATACACAGCATTCATTGATCATTAATCATATGCCAGGAATTGCATATGCATTATCGCATCCAACTTGTTTGTCAAAGTAGCTATTGGAGGCAACTATTCTTATCTCCATTTGCAGGAGGTCAAATGGTGCCCCCAACCCCCTGCAAAAAAGATATATCCACCCGGAACCTGTGAATGTTTGCTTATTTTAAAAGAGTCTTTGCAGATGTAATTAAATTAGGGATCTTGAGATGAGATCATTCTGGATTATCTGAACAAGCTCTAAATCCAATGATGAGTGTCTTTATAAGAAGAGAAGACACAGACATGGAGGTGAAGGCCATGCGAAGACAGAGGCAGAGACTGGAGTGATGTGTCTAGAAGCTAAGGAACTCTAGGGGTTGCCAGCGGTCACCAGAAGCTAGGAGAGAGGTGCAAAACAGATCCTCCTTCAGAGCCTCTGGAGCCTCCTCCTCTGGAAAAGCCCCGACTTTCAACTTGATTTAGGACTTTTTTGGCTTCCAGAACTGAAAGAGAACAGATTTCTGTTGTTTTAAGCCACCCAGTTTGTGGCAATTTCTTATAGCAGCCCCAGAAAGTGAATGTACTCTTTTATAGATGAAGGTACCAAGGCCCAGAAAGGTTAAATCACATATCCAAGTGCCATAGCTGGGACCAAATTCCACCAATTTACAGCTGATCCAAACATGAGGTTGGATTTTTAAAAGCAGCATAAAACGCATAAAGAGATGCATGAAAAACCATTCCCCAAATGCTAATGGTAACTATCTTAGGATGCGGAGGTTTTGGGTAACTTACTTTGTTCAGTATTCTTAGAAATACTGCTCATATTTTCTAAAGTAACATTGACTATGTAATTTGAAGAAAAAAATTAAGTCATTTTTTCTGAGAGGCAATCACAATGAGAGTGTTAACTGAAAAAGGCAGCACACAAACTTGTAGACAGTAAGTAATACTACAATTGTGTATAGCAGTCCATTTATTTTTCTAATTTTTTAAATTATACTTTAGGTTCTGGGATACATGTGCAGAACGTGCAGGTTTGTTACATAGGTACACATGTGCCATGGTGGTAATATCCAAAATCTACAAGGAACTTCAACACATTTACAAGAAAAAACAAACAACCCCATCAAAAAGTGGGTGAAGGATATGAACAGACACTTCTCAAAAGAAGACATTTATGCGGCCAACAAACATGAAAAAAAGCTCACCATCACTGGTCATTAGAGAAATACAAATCAAAGCCATGATGAGATACCATCTCATGCCAGTTAGAATGGCGATCATTAAAAAGTCAGGAAACAACAGATGCTGGAGAGGATGTGGAGAAATAGGAACGCTTTTACACTGTTGGTTGCAGTCAAGTTTTACAGCAACATCATGAGGTAGGTATTGATATGGCCCAATTTTACAGGTGAAGAGCCCACATCTCAGAATATACTGAGGACACGCTGGAGCCATTGCATTTAAAGTCTCTATTAAAGAGAAAATGCCCTTATTCTCTCCATCTCTTTAGACCTTTCTTGAGTCTGACTTATAAGCCATATTGCTAGAAGCAAACATTTTTGTTCTCTCTCAGACTAATCAATGTTCAGGTCTGCAAGTTATGGAGGAAGAGAGGCATGAATCTTCTTACCTCTTCCATTCTCAACCAATTTATTCTATTTTTAATTTTTATTTTTGGAGACAGGGTCTCACTGTGTCATCAAGGCTGGAGTGCAGTGGCACAATCATAGCTCACTGCAGCCTTGGCCTCCCAGGCTCAAGTGATCTCACCTCAGCCTCCCGAGTGAGTAGCTGGGACCACAGGTGTGTGCTAGCATACCTGGCTAATATTTTGTATTTTTTTGTAGAGATGAGGTCTCACTCTGTTGCCCAGGCTGGTCTCAAATCCTGGGCTCAGGTGATTCACTCACCTTGGCCTCCCAAAGTGTTGGGGTTACAGGTGCAAGCCACCATGCCTGGCCCACCTGGGGAAACTTTTAAAAGATCACCTGGGGAATATTTTTAAAAATGTAAGTTCTGGTGACAGAAGGACAAATATGACATGATTCTACTTATAAGAGGTATTTAAAATATTCTGACTTACAGAATTCGTTCTTTCTACGCGGAAAATCAGATAGTTCCCTTAGTATTAAAGACTTTAATCTGGGTGTAAAGAGAAAAGACAAAGACATGAGATCCTAATTCCACTCTTTTAAAAAAAACCTCGAAGAAGCTTTGTTCTCTTAAGCTTACACGAGAATGTGGATTTTTTCATTGGCAAGTCTAAACCTATTGTCAGCAATTTAAATCTACAGTCTGGGTCTTAGTGGCTTGGAACTGGCTTCTATCTGGTCCATAATTTAGCTAAGGATATAGAGAGAAATGCAAGCAAAATCTCTTGCTTTTGGGGACTCAAGATGTCTTGGCTCAGTCACATTGGACATTTTGAGGATTCTGGCAGACAAAATACAGAGAAAATTGGACTTGAAGGGCGTCTTAGCCATAACCAACACTCTCTGCAACCTCACGACATGCCCAGCTCTGTGACACACACTTTATAACCGTCATCTCATGGAGGCCTTTAACAAATCTAAGATGTAAGCACCATCATCTTCAATTTCCAGACAAGGGAGCTGAGTCTTAGTAGGTCATGGAGCTTGGGAGCTTGGATGTGGCAGACCCTCGGACTGAATCAGAAATATCTGTTGTCCTCAGGCCCTTGGCCCCTCTGTGGGACTGCCCCTCCAGCCCTGGACATTCAGAGCTGTGTGTGAGTGGATGCATTAGAATCGCACAGATTGAATGTCCTTTAAAATGCAGGAGGTGTGAAGTTTGGAATATGCATTATGTCTAAAGGCCTCAGCGATGTTATGGGGAAAATAATTTGAGGGAAAGCAGCAAAAGGTAATGGAATTAATAATCAATGTCAAGAATGGGTGCTTTCTGGACCCAGGCTGCTTCTCACAATGGTGTGATCCTCAAAAAGTACTTTCCCCTCTCTGGGTCTCAGTTTCCCCTGCACACATGTGGGACTAGTTCTAGAATCACCTGAAGAATCTTTTAAAAAATATTAAGTTCCGGTCACAGAAGGACAAATATGGCATGATTCCACTTACAAGAGGTATTTAAAATAATCCAACTTACAGAAGCAGAAATAGAAGGGTGGTTGTCACAGGATGGGAGGAGGGGGAAGTGGAGAGTTTGTTCAATGAGTATAAAGTTGCAGTTACGCAAGATGAGTAAGTTCTAGGGATATGCTGTACAATAGTTAATGTACAGTTAATGATATGATGTGCACTTAAAAATTTGTTTTAAGAGGTTGAATTTCATGTTAAGTCTTCTTAACACACACACACATGCACAAACACATACTGCAAAGGGATACAAGGACACCATTGGAGGTGATAAATATACTTATTACCTTGATTGTGGTGATGACATCATGGCTGTATACACATGTCCAAACCCATCAGATTGTATACATTAAGTATGTGCAGTTTTTTTCTGTATCAATTATACTTCAATAAAGCTGTAAAAATATATAAGTTCTAAGATTTATCTTTGACTTTTAAATCCTGATCTTCTAGGAGACTCTTATCCATTAATTACTTAAACAAATATTTATTTATATTTACTAAGCATGTAGCTGCTGGAGATGAAATGGCCTGCTTGTGAGTGTTCCATCAGGAAATAGAATAGTGCACTCCAATTAGGGTAATTTGAGGAGTTTTCACAGAGGGACTAATACAAAGGTGTGGGCGGGATATAGGGGAAGCAGCAAGGATAGCAACAGTGGGGCTTTTACCGTCTCTGGACCTGATGGAGTCGGGGGGAATGTTCACCTGACCCTGGAAGGACAGAGTTATGGAGATGCCTCCTTAGAAGAACCATGACCTTCACCGAGAGCAGTTTCTTAACCTTGGCACTGTTGACATTTGGGCTTGGGTAATTGTTGTGGGGGCTGTCCTGTACATTGTAGTCCCTGTCCTGTAACCAACAGATACCAGCAGCACCATCACCCCCAGTTGTGGCAACCAAATATTTCTCCAGACATTGCCAAATGTCCCTTGCGGGGCAACATTACACTTGATTGAGAACCACTGACCTGGAGATGCAGTCAGCTTGTGGGGATGCCACAGAGAAGGATGTGTCACCCCATTCTCCCACTCCTCTTTCCTTTCAATTTCCTGCTGAGATTTCCCATTGGCCAAGACTCACCCCGAAGTCAGAAGTTCAGGGAGTGCACTGCTGCACTCTAGCAAGGCAGCTCTGAAGCTGAGAGCAGGTGGAGAGTGGTGAACAACAGGCGCAATGGGGTGAATGGAGACACAGCACGGGCAGTGAACACAATCAATAAGACCCCTGTGCTTAGGCACTCACAGTCTATTGGTGATAGGGGTGGATGGAGAGGCAGAGTACACACAAGAAAATTTCTGAGCATGATTAGGAGTATAAAAACAAGCCGAAAACCCAAATGATGCAGCAATTAATGGCAGAGTTCTCTGTGGAGGAGAGAGTTAAGCTAAGACCTGAATGATAGGACGGGGCTAGCCTCTTAAATATCAGGGGGTGGGGACATGATATTCCAAGCCAAGGGAATAGCATGTGCAAAGGCTCTAGACTCTGCATTTATTTATTTATTTGTTTTTACTTGTTTCATTGATTTGTTTTACTTTACTGGGGTATGATTTATATATATAGCAAGATATGCAAATATCAAATGTACCAGTTGTTGAATTTTTGCAAATGTGTTCACTCCTGTAACTATCATTCAGATTCAGATATAGGTCATTCCCACCTCCCCAGAAAGTTTCCTTGTGCTCCAAATCCTGCCCCTCTGTCCTACTATTGTCCTGACTTTTATTACCAGGCAAGATCAGCTTTGTCTGTCTTTGAATTTCATAGAAATGGAATCACACAGCATGTACTTTCCTAAGCCTAGATTCTTTCATTCAACATCAGATCCATGGGATTCATTCATGTTGTTACACAGATCAGCAGTGCCTGCTTCTTTTTTCTTGCTGAATAATATTCCATTGCATGGACGTGCCACTGTGTGTTTGTATCCATTCTCCTGTGGGGGGATATTTGGTCTGTTTCCAGTTTTGAGCTCTTATGAACTAAGTCACTGTGAGCATTTGTATACAAGTATTTTTGTGGGCATATGCATTCATTTCTCATGAGATGTAATTTCAGGGTCACAGGGTAGAAGTCTTTTTAACCTTATTAGAAATTATCAGTTTTCCATTATATATATATACACACACATATATATACACATACATATATATATACATACACATATATACACATATATATAATACATATATATAAAATACATATATATGTATATATTTTTTGAGACAGAGTCTTGCTCTGTCACCTAGGCTGGAGTGCAGTGGTGTGATCTGGGCTCACTGCAGCCTGTGCCTCCTGAGTTCAAGCGGTTCTCTTGCCTCAGCCTCCTGAGCAGCTGGGATTACAGGCACCTGTCACCATGCCCAACTAATTTTTGTACTTTCTGTAGAGACACGGTTTCACCATGTTGGCCAGGCTGGTCTCGAACTCCTAACCTCAGGTGATCCACCCAGCTAGGCCTCCCAAAGTGCTGGGATTATAGGCATGAGCCACCATGGCGCCCAGCCCCATTAGATTTTGATGTGAAGTTAGGCTGGGAAATCACCAGATGAGAGGGTTTTCCTAAAGCCCATTCTGGCTTGGGAATTCTAACATTCCATAGTGATTTTTCCTCCATTGATCCTAGTCTAACTAAACACAGGTCTATTTATTGATCCATCACAGGGTCATCCCTCGCCTTTATCCCCAGGTACCATTCAGCCCCAGGTAAACTGTGCCCGAGGGCCAGCCACATGTGCTGGGTACCTGGAAAAACTGCCTGTAGCGCCAGCCTCCCACCTCCTCCTGGGTGCATGTGTATTAAATCGTGGTATAGTGGCTAATTCTTTGCAGCTTGCAGGTTGCTGCCTCCATTTCAGCAGACACGAGGGCGCCCTGACACAGTTAAAGATCACAAGCTTTGATAACCTGCCCTTCTGATTTATAACAGTCGGGGTCTCCACATTCACCTAATGAGGGGAACTCGGAGTGTCAACCTGTTTATTAAATGCTCAGAACCATGTGTGAGCCGGAATGAGGTAAGAAGTCAATCATATTTTCATTTATTCTGCGTGTCCCCTGCCTGTTCATTCAGGCCTCTCTCCCCGAGACTGTCAGTCTGCCAAACTATTTCTTTTCATCTCCAAAGGGGAGGACTTTAGGATAGATCATTTGCAGAGACGGTCGGGGTCCACAATGTTTGCACTTCCCTACTGATTTCATAGGTGTTTGGAAGTTAATGATACTCAACACCTCATGATTCTTTCCTATATGTCAAACAAAGACATGAAAGGGAAAGTGGCCAGAGGGGAGAGGTAGGTAGGGGGTGCAGGGTGGGGAAGACAGAAACGTATCCATAGCTTTCCCTTTCCTTCACCCTAGGCCTGGAGAGATTGGAGAGATTGTGAGTCTTAATGCAAATGGAAGATGGATTAATCTTCCTGAAGTTGTCGGCATCTAATGAAGTCTTAATTCATCTTCTTTAATTCCCTTTAAAATAAAAAAAAGCATAAATCAAAATAACAAATGGCCCGGCTGCTTTAATCTCCACTTGTTCTCACCCCCTTCCCCTTTGCAACTTGGTCACTGTCATTTTCTTAATCTCTGGAGATTCCGCCCTGATTCCTTTCAAGTGGCATCAGCTCTGTCTCTTAGGTTTGGTATTCTGGAGTTGGCATAAATATTTCTGCCTGTTTGAGGCCCCTGGCTGGATTCTGACCTTGGACATGACTGGGGGAGGGGGCAGAGCAGGCCACACTCTGAAGTTTACTTGGTAAGATGAGCTCTAGGTGGCCCAGTCTGAAGACCTGGGAAGAGTTCTGCAACCTCACATCTGTGACTAAAGCAGGCTTTACTGGAACTGCTGGTCTATATTGTTCTATTCTTGGATTCTTGGTGCTTTCTTGTGATACATGATGGTACATGTAATGATACTTATTCATTAAGTGATACATTGTTTCATTTAAAATAACCTCAGGAGTAAGCTTGTGAAGAATTCAAACTTCATATTCTTTTTTCTTTCACTGAAATTGCCTTTTTTTTTTTTTACTTCTAAAGCATACATACACACATTTTCTTGAGATTAGAAACTCTTTTTAAAATTTTAAAAATTTTTTACTTCTAAAGTATACATACACACATTTTCTTGAGATTAGAAACTCTGTTTTGTCCTTTGAGGGTATATTTATATAAGAAACAAAGCAGTAAAGGCCTGCATGGTAAAGCAAGGGCATTTGCGCTAGAGGACCAACATTCAGGCTCCAATAACGTCATCCATTAACAGTTTATACACCAACCCCATTATCACTGGATTCTCATTACATCTGTGTGGATCAAGCAGGACAACTCATTTCTTGCTTCATATTCTTTTTCAGTTCTTGTATCTTGTATCTTGCCCTGTGCCCAGCTTAAAACAGATGCTACATAAATATTTGTTGAATGAGTGAACAAATGGATGGATGAATAAACAGAGTTGCCTGATTGTGCATTGTGCAATCTTTAACTTAAATTTGGTCTCTGTTTGTTTTTGTGTAATGGTTATAGAGATATCCTGGCTTGGGGCAACGTGGAATAGCTGAACACCTGTGGTAGATTGGTGTTAATGTGGCCCTGCCTGTTTTCTCTGTCTGTCTTAGTAACAGAACCTCCATCTTTAGCTGGACAATAGATAGCTGGAATGAAGACATTTCCCAGACTTCCTTCCAGCAAAGTGTGGCCATGTTCTGCCCACTGAAATTTAAGTGGTGGTGTTGTATGGTTAATGTCCTTAAAAAGACAGCTGGAACAAACCCCTTGCTTCTTCTCTTGCTGCTCCATATGGTTGGAATGCAGACATGAGGGCTAGAGCCCAACAGCTATTTTAGACTATGAGGCAGGAAGTTAAGAAAGGTGGCACAACAAGAAAAAAAGCAGCTTGGGTCTCCTGATTATTAAACTGCCATATCATGCTGGATTGCTTGTCTCTGGACTTACTTTAGGAGACACAGACATGAACTTCTAGTTTTCTTAAACTAATATTTTGGGTGTTTCATCACATGCAACCAAACCTAATTCTAAGGAATTCAGTATGGTTTTTAAAGACCTGGAGTTTTGCTTATGGGTACTATCAGCTAATACAGGTTAAAACACCTTAGAGATAAAACACCCAGAAGGTAGGGTCCATAGAACAAATGGCCCACACTCTGCTGATTAAGAAACAAAAATTGTGATTGACTTCAAAGAAATTAGTTTGGACCTTTAATGGAACAGACATGGTTGACATTCTATTTTCTGAAATAAACATATTAAAGAATAAAAAAAATGCTATAAGCCTGAGACCAACCTCGGGATGATAGATAAACTTATAGATCAATTTATAGAGGACATGTCAGGATGGGAATAAGCATGAAGCACCCAGCACAGTACTCAGTGCGATGCAGTCACGTGGCAAATGTCAGTTTTCCGTATTCCAGTCTCTTGCATCTTCAGCATCTGTAGCTTTGCAGAGAGCAGAAACCAGGGCCAGCAGGGCTTATCCCATAACTCTAAGGAGTTTGGATGCTATACTGAAGCCAGTAGAGAGGGAGTTAAAATTTCATTTCAGATGTGCCTATTAGAAGAATCCCCTGGATTTTCTCTGTGGGGAAAAAGATTTGCTAGTGAGTAGGAGGCAAGAGGCCAGGAAACTAGTGATGCAGATGTTGCAGGGATCTAGGAGGAAGAGGATAGTGCCTTGGACTTGGGCAGTGGATGTGAGGAGGCAGAGGAGAATTTGGATGAGAGGGACATAGAGGTGGAGTCCACAGCATCGAGATGGTGATTATTTGGAGGTTGACCTAGAAGGGCGCTGGAGCAGTTAAGTGGGAGAGGAAATCATGGTGAGCCCCCAGGTTTTCAACTTGAACTGGATCTGTTGGTGGCATGTTCTCTGTGACAGGGTGGGAGAGAAGTATTTGAGTGAGAAGTATTTGGGTGAGACAAAGCTGTGTGTCAGACTCTTTGAGTCTGATGTGCCTTGTGAAACATCCAAAGTAAAGAAGCACAGTAGACAGTTGGCCCTATGGGCGAGAGCCTTAAGAGAGGCCTGCACCCAGCTTGTAGGATAGATCAGAAAGCGAGGCTGACATAACAGTTATGAAGGAAATCTCCGAACTGCTTTCCACAGTGGCTGAGCTAATTTGCATTCCCACCAACGGTGCATAAGCATTCCCTTTTCTCTGCAGCCTGGCCAACATTTGTTCTTTGACTTTTGAATACTAGCCATTCTGACTGGTGTGAGACGGTATTTCATTGTGGTTTTGATTTGTATTTCCCTGATGATGAGTGATATTGAGCACTTTTTCGTATGTTTGTTGGCCATTTATATGTGTTATTGTGAGAAGTGTCTGCATGTTTTGTGCCCACATTTTAATGGGGTTATTTGGTTTTTGTTTGTTAAATTATTTAAGTTTCTTATAGATTCTTGATATTAGAGTTTTGTTGGATGCATAGTTCATGAATATTTTCTCCCATTCTCTAGGTTGTCTGTTTTTTCTGTTGATAGTTTTGACCCGGCAATCCCATTACTGGGTATATATACAAAAGAAAATAAATCATTCTACCAAAAAGACCTGCACTCATATGTTCATTGCAGCACTATTCACAATAACAAAACCAGAATCAACCAAGGTGCCCATCAACAGTGGACTGGATAAAGAAAACATGGTATATATGCAACATGGAATACTATGCAGCCATGAAAAAGAATGAAATCGTGTTCTTTGCAGCAATGTGGATACAGCTGGAGGCCATTATCCTAAGTGAATTAACATAGGAACAGAAAACCAAAGACAGCATTTTCTCACTTATAAATGGGACCTAAACACTGAGTACTCATGGACATAAAGATGGTAACAATAGACACCGGGCACTACTAGAGGTGGGAGGGAGGGAGGAGGCAAGGGTTGAAAAACCAACTGTTGGGTACTGTGCTTTGCTACTTGGGTGATGGGATCATTTGTATCCTAAACCTCAGCATCATGCAATATACCCAGGTAACAAACCTGCACATGTACCCACTGCATCTAAAGTAAAAGTTAAAATTATTAAAAACAAAACAAAAAACTTGGGGGGGGGGTGTGGATATATACAGTCTTTAATTAATTTTTTTTTTTTTTTTGAGACAGAGTCTCACTCTGTTGCCCAGGCTGGAGTGCAGTGGCTCGATCTCAGTTCAATGCAACCTTCACCTCCTGGGTTCAAGTGATTCCCCTGCCTCAGCCTCCTGGATAGCTAGAACAACAGGCGTGTGCCACCATGCCCAGCTAATTTTTGTATTCTTAGTAGAGACGGGGTTTTACCATGTTGGCCAGGCCAGGATTGTCTCAAACTCCTGACCTCAAGCCTCGGCCTCCCAAAGTGCTGGGATTGCAGGCATGCGCCACCATGCCCAGGCCTACCCTTTAATTAAAAAAAAAAAAAAATCCACAATGCAAAAACAAAGTGCCTATTGACCTGAGAGTCTTTCAGGAAGAAGACAGAAATGGAAGAAAATGTCAGTTATTTTCTTGATGTGGGAGGTACGCTTTTTCATTCATTCATTCTGACAACACGTATTTATTACATTCTCACTATGTTCTAGGCACTATGTGTTGAGCATATGACAATGAACACAAGAGACAAAAAATTCCTGCCTTCATGGAGCTCACAGGGCAGTGGACACTGGGAAAACCGAATGAGACATCTCAGTCTTGAGAGGATTTCTATGCTTGATGGCTCTAATTTAATCTATAGGGCTTGCAAAGGCTCAAGAGGGTTGCTCATTCAGTCTGGGAAGATCTGCAGCCTCAGAGAGGGCTTTTATTAAGCTAATAAACATTTTTAAGACCCCTCCCCTATGCTTTAGGCACCATCTTGGACCAATGATGCTTGAGCATAGGGAGAAAATATTAGAGCTTCTATGTATATATTTAATTCAATCTTTAAACATTTCTACTATTGAGTATGTTTCATCCTGTGTGAGGAGTATTACTAAGTAGTGCATGTATATAATTTAAACATACAATTAAAATATACACAATTTAAAAATGTAATTAAAATATATATCCACATACTGTTTTAGGAGGGAGAGTAAGCAAAAATATTTTGCTCACAGGGATGAATGATCAAGAAACTTTTTATAACTGTGGTTGGGGGTCAGCGAATATTTTCTTTTATTATTATTATTATTATTATTATTATTATTATTATTATTATACTTAAGGCCGGATAGTAAATACTTTAGGCTCTGTCAGCCATGAGGTCTTTGTTGCAACTACTTAACTCCATCATTGTAGTATGGAAGCAGTCATAGACAATATGTAAATGAATGAACATGCTTGTGTTCCAATAAAACTTTACAGCACAAACTGGCCCTGGATTGGATTGGCCTGCTGGTTATAGTTTGCCAACCCCTGGTCTAAGTAATTACATGAGTAGTAACAATAGAGTGTAATAAATAAGGCAAGTAAAGAGTGCTATGAAGCATAGATCATTTCTGTTAGGAGGGTGGTCAGAGAGGAGTCACCTGAGGGAGTGATATTTACTGAGAACTGGGAGGTGAGCCAGTGCTACCTTGACAAAAAGGAGTTGTAGGAGTGTTCCAGTCCTACGGGAGTGAGAACACATACCCCAAAGGAGCTGGACGTGGCCTATGCCTTGAACTGTAAGGTGCTGGGCGCTCCAACAGCAAATGGGGACAGATAGCCCTGGACTTAGGAGCCATTTGCAAATACCAGGCCTGATGGAGACATGATGCTTAGAAGTCATGAGGCCAGGAGTGCTTCTCTGGAACTGCATTTGCCTCCCAAGACAGAATCCAGGGGAGGACATCAATGAAGAGAGAAGCGGGATGGGTGGCTTCTGGCTGGGGCTGTTTTCTCCTTCTCATCAACACCCTCCAGCAGGATGCAGCCACAGCAGCTGCTGGCCAGCTCACTGCTGGACAGTAGGGCTGTCAGTTTCTGATGGATCAAGAGTGCCGGAGGGATGCTGTCATTCTTGGTCTCTAGGGTTGAGCTCCTATGCGCCTCCTTACCAGAGGCCCCTGATGAGAGGGCAGGTCACTTCCATCAGTCCTGAGGCCTCCCTCTATTTTTATGATGGAAATAAACCCTGCCCTTGGATTGCTATCTTTTTGCAACTTGCAGGCAGAATAAAATGTAGAATCTGTCTATCCCCCTTTTCCTTAGCAACTCCTCCACCCCAACTGTTTTATACAGTCAAGATTTTATTCAGAAATGTAGAAACCTCTGGCTGAGTTTTTTCACTGTATTTTAACCTATTCGTTCTAGGCCTGGGGGAGAAGAGAAATGAATTGTTATTTTAGAAACCCATGTCTAGCCTCCCTCCTCTGTCAGTCAGGAGCCTGTAGCTCTCTCTGATAATAATAGTATCTTGTGTATGTGTGGTGTGGTTAATAGCAAGTTTGCTTTCAATCCACTTCCTGTACTTTCCATGCTGTGCTGTTCTTTATCACAGGGAGCTATGTTTCCCAGTCTCCTGTAAAGGGTTGGCCAATGGGAGAAGTGCTGGAGGGTGGGGGATAGGGAGAAGTCAGGGCATTTCTACCCCTCTCTCTGCTTCTGGGGGCATTACCAGCAGCTGCTGTCTTTTCTCCCTGTGTTTATCTCCTTTCGGATAGCCCTTTCTTCCCTTATCTCAACTGTGTGGGCAGCCCCTACCAGGGCTGTAGCACCCACTGGATACCCCAGCTCCTGGCTCTGGCAAAATCACCTTCTCTTGTTGTCCCTCCAGCCAAAGGGGAATCCTTATTCTCCATCCTTTGGTTTCCTTCAGCCTTTCCTGTTGGCTTATCAGCCCTTCCATGATCTAGGTAGTCAACTCCCTGTATTAAACTCCTTCTGTTCAAAAGACCTTTAGTGATTTCTCTATTCTCCCTGGATCCTGAAAATTACATGCAGCATCTCACAGTTAAAAGGTGCTGTTGTTCCATGATCTCATTTTAATTTTGACATGCATGACCTCAGAGGACATCAAGCCTGGTGCTATTACACCATTACACCATGATATAAAAAAGATAAATGGTTAAATATATTGCCTGAAGCCCTGGATTAAGGCAGCATGACTCCATGGAGCCAGGCACACCTTTGCATCCCAGCTTCATTGTGTCTGTAAGGCCTCTAGTAACTCATTTCATTTTTCAGCTTTTTAAATCTCTAAATTGGTAATAAGAATACAGGTATCATGATGTTGTTCTATCAGACACTTAGCACACTGTCTGATATGTAGTAGAAGCTCAGCAAATATTGGTAATTACAGTAGAACCTCTCTTTACCATCCTCTGTTCAATGAAGAGTTGGCCTTCTCTATCCCCTCTGCAAGTAGACTAACTGCTGTGCAAAGCTTATTGCACGCTTTGGTAAATATGCACCTCAAGAGGAAAGAGAAGTGTGCAGGTTCTCTTTCATCTTGAGGTGCGTATTTACCAAACGTCAACCTTCTTGGTTCCCAGACCTCTTTGACTCAATTATACTTGTTCTAAAAAAATAACCTAATGACATTTAAGCTCCAGGACCTCACATGAACTGACCCCTCCCAGGGCCCTGGGAGGAGCTCTAGCAATGTGCTCAGGAGGTCATGTTATGTTAAAAAATTTTCTTTTAATTAATAAACTTTATTTGTAGAGTAGTTTTACGTTCCCAAAAATGTTGATAGGAAGATACAGATATCCCACAACCCTGTCCCCACACTTGCACAGCCTTTCTTATCATCAACATGCTCCCCACACATGTTACAATTGAGGGACATACATGGACACATCATCACCTGAGTCCATAGTTTACATTAGGGTGTCAGTCTTGATGTTGTCATCCTATAGGTTTGCACAGATGTATGATGACATGTATCCACCATTGTAGTATCACACAGAATAGTTTCCCTACTCTAAAAACATTTCCTGTGCTCTGCCTGTTCATTCCTCTCTCCCTCTTAACCCCTGGAAACAACCGATCTTTTACTGTTTCCATAGTTTTGCTTTGTCCAGAGTGTCATATAGTCGGATTCATGCAGTACATAGCCTTTGCAGATTGGCTTCTTTCATATAGTAACATGCATTTAAGTTTCCACCATGTCTTTTCATGGCTGGATAACTCATTTCTTTTAGGGCTGAATCATATTCCACTGTCTGGATATACTATAGATTATCCACTTACCTACTGAAGGTAAGTGGTTACTTCCAAGTCTGGGCAGTTAT